>NC_000001.11:55917471-56068986 GCF_000001405.40 Homo sapiens
CATAATAGCTGTGTGACCTGGCCTCTTCCAAACTTCACAAACCATGCTCTTCCAACGCTTACTATAGCATTGTTCTTATTCTAGCTACCCTGTGCATTTTTCAGTTTGCTTGTATTGAAATTGTGTACCATATTATTAGCCTCAGTAACAAGTTCAAATGAAGAGTGACAAGCGAGACTTTGTATCTTTCCTCTCATCCAGGTATTCTCACTTTGCCTCCTCAGAAGTTCATTTAAATAAAAGCAATCAATGTATCCATGTTGGCACTTGGGGATGGCCAGCCTGGAAAACGTCTATAAAATGTGTCCCTTGTGCTACAATTGGCTAAAGCATCATTAAACAGAGGAACAGATTCTATGCAGCAGGTTTGTGATAATAGCATTGTGTTCCTTCTCATTGAGGAGGAAGGCTTTAGCCAGGGACAATTTCAATTTTGGTCTGGTCTCAACTGCTCGTTCATCCAAATTATTCAGATTAGCTTCTGAGTCTTTCCCCCATTATGGACCTAAAACAGCTTTGCTCTGGGGTCCTGATTATTTGCAATGGGAGGTCTCTATACTATTTTTATGAAACTGTTTGTGTTTTTCAGGGTTTACTTCAAATATTGAGGTATATTAGTCTGTTCTTACACTGCTATAAATAAATCCCTGAGACTGGGTGATTTATAAAGAAAAAAGGTTAATTCGTTCATGGTTCTGCAGACTGCACAGAAAGCATGATGTTGGCTTCTGCTGGGCTTCTGGGGAGCCTCAGGAAACTTACAATTATGGTGGAAGGCGAAGTAGGAGTGAGCACCTCATATGGCCAGAGCAGGAAGAAGTGGAGGGAGATGCCACATATATTTAGGCAACCAGACTCACGAGAGCTCACTATCACAAGAACAGTACCAAGGGGGAAATCCACCCCCATGATCCATTCACCTCCCACTAGGCCTCACCTCCAACTCTGGGGATTATAATTCATTATGAGAATTGGGCAGGGAGACAGACCTAAACCATATCATGAGGATTCTTTAAAGAATTGGTAAGAAAATTTTGCTTGGTCTCCAGATACTAACAAATGACAGGTAAAAAGTTACTAAATATCAAGTCTTGATTTTTATTTCTGCTTATAGGACCCAACAGATTTTTAGTGGTCTGTGTACTCAGGCCAGCTGCCTCTTTATTTTTCAGTTAAGGCTTAGTATGTATCTTTTTGTCTGTCTTTTAAAAATACACATGTTATTTCTTCCATTGCATGGCAGGAGGAAGTATTTTAAGAGTCCTTGAGTTAGGAAGGGTAAATTTCTGGATGGAGTCCAAGATTACAGCAGCCTCCTCCACTGGGGAGAAACCTGGACAACATTAAATTTCCCATGTAGCATCATTAAACATTCTCTTGTTGCCCTAGTTCATGATTTTATTGTTTAACCAGTTCACACTGACAGTCTTGTGGGTTATAGTTCTGTTTGACTGTCGAGTACATACTATTTCCATTATATTACATTCCAATATGTTCTGAAGGAACATGATACATGTGTGCATGGAGGAAATGTAAGTGACACCAAGTGGGCAGTTCTATTTCTCCTTGAATCTGACTTAATTTTAAGGATTGACTTTTTCCCCTCCTGTTAGCAAATTGTATTGTTCACCTTTACTTTGATATCCTGTATTTTGGACCTCTTCAAATTTTACAAGATTTTAAAACCCTAGTTCCTCCATTCCAGCTAATAGGAACTATTTTGCTTTTTTGCTATTTTGAAATTTCACTGGCTTTGAAGTTGATGTGTTTATTTTTATATTACTCTGTTCAGAAGAGTAGCTAACACCATTTAATAACTACCATACACTTGTCTAGCTTCTTGGTTGCTTCGTTTCATAGGTATCAATAGCTTCTTTTCATTAAATTGTTAATAAACTTGCAGATTAATAATGACTTTCTTGAGGGCAGAAATTAGGACTTTTATTCTATTGAATCCTCAGGATATAACCCAAAAACTGGCCACAGAGTTAATGTTTTATAAATATATGTTGCTTATTCTCATCTTCAGTAGAAGAAAACCCATCAAATAATAGCCATAAAACATAAAAATTAATGAAAGTATAAAAACTGCACAGGTGAGTGATATGGTCAGGCTTTGTTTCCCCACCCAAATCTCATCTTGAATTGTAATTCCCGTAATCCCCATGTGTCCAAGGGAGAGACCAGGTGGAGGTAATTGCATCATGGGAGTGATTTCCCCAGTGCTGTTCTTGTGACAGTGAGTTCCCATGAGATCTTTTACACTTCTCTCTGCACTTCTCCTCCCGGCCATCTTGTGAAGAAGGTGCCTTACTTCCCCTTCGCCTTCCGCCATGATTGTAAGTTTCCTGAGGCCTCCCCAGCCATGTGGAACTGGGAGTCAATTAAGCCTCTTTTCTTTATAAATTACCCAGTCTTGGGCATTTTTTAATAACAGTATGAAAATGGACGAATACAGTGGGTAAGAACATAGATTTTAGAGCCACACAGATCCAAGTCCAAATCCTGGATATGCTGCTGGATAATGATGTAATCTGGATAAGTTAATGATATCTCTTTGTGTCCTCATCTATAAAATGCAGATAATATCTGTCTTATAAAATTTTAATGAAAACTGAATAAAATAGCGCATGAAAGCACAATACTTAGCTCATAGTTAACACTCAATAAATAGTATATATCATGTTAATTATTAGCAGTAGTATCAATATTAGTATTACTAGTAGTATTAATATCAATATTGAAAGAGTGAGATTTATAGGATTCCTGCATCCTTTTTGGCATCAGATCCTAATTCTGACATTTACTAGGGTTTTTCTCCAGTTTTTATTGAGTTATAATTTACAAATTTAAATATATGTGTATTTAAGATGTACAACATAGCATTTTTATGTAACTATACTTTGTGTAATGATTTCCATAATCAAGTTAATTAACACGTGTAATCTCGTATAGTTATTATACTATTTTCTTTTTTTGTGGTAAGAACACTTAAGATCTGCTTTCTTAGCAAATTTCAAGTACATAATACATGATTATTAACAATAATCACCACGCTG
Source organism: Homo sapiens (assembly GCF_000001405.40). Taxonomy (NCBI): domain Eukaryota; kingdom Metazoa; phylum Chordata; class Mammalia; order Primates; family Hominidae; genus Homo; species Homo sapiens. Next base: position 55,920,531 of record NC_000001.11, read on the forward strand.
TACAATAGATCTTCAAGCTTATTCACTGAAAGCTGAAAGCTATTTGTTCTGTGGCCTGTGTCAGGTAAGGTCTTTCGAGAAGCTGATGCCAAGACAGGATTAGATGTGTAAGAGGCTTGTTGTGGAAAGTGGTTATGAAGGATAAAGATGGATGGGACAAGAGAAGGCAGGTGATGCCGTTCTGGCACCTGTGAAAGGGGGGGTGGGAAGGAAGGAGGCTATTGAGGAGCTGCAGTTCTGATTATGGTCCTGAGAAATCCCTGGCTAGGCCAATGCAGGATCTCAGAGCAGATTTATAGGATTCCTGCATTAAGCAGGAGTGGACTAACTATGGTGCCACTGCTGTGTTCTGTCATGTCCTGGAGGCAGGGCAGGTGAAGTATGGCCTTAGCATGAATGTCAAGATCTGAAGATGCAGCCACATTTTCACCTATGCTTCCAGCAGCAGCTTTTCCTGAATGGAGATCTGACTAGTGCACCTCCATGCCCACCCCTTGGTCTTAAGGTCTATTTTTCCACTTGTTAGGGTCTCTGTTTGTCATCAGTGGCATAAACGACACACACAAAAAACTCCATTGAGGTAGTTAGATTTCACTTGAATGATTTGCCTGAAGTACCTGGAACGTAGTCAAGTGTTCAGAAAATGTTCATTCCTTTCCTTTTCCCCCAGTTTTTCCTTCTATTTTTAACTTCCCATCCCATAAAGGTAGATACCCAATCTTTACTGAATACTTTCAGTGACAAGATTCCAGCAAATAACTCAACATGGAAAAATCCTCACTTTTGTCTCATCTTGTAATCTTGCGTAAAATGTACTGACTAAAGTTGAATTACCCAGTTAATGGATTTGACCCTCTTGTTCTTTTATCTATGCAGTCAGCCTTGGAAAGAGAAAAAAAACAGAAAAAATGAAAAGTAATTCATATTTGGCATTAGATTTTATTTCTTGAGGGAATAAAACTTGTGTCTCAGTGAGATTAAATCATTTATGGAAACACTATGTCTTGAATGCTTTGTCCTATTCAAGTCGTGGGGGCACATTCACAAAATAGAGCTGCTTAGATCAGAGAAGATGAGCTGAGTGGGAAAGATTGGTATCTTCTCAGTGTTCTCAGAGACAAACCCTTCTGAATTCCAGCCAAATAATAGAGCACACAAAACTAGGGCATAGGTTGAAATAATTACATATTACACAGAAAAATTGAAAAATATAAAACATAATTAATGGGATTAGAATTCTACAAAATATTACATAAGCTATGGCAAGCAGATGATATATAAATACACATAGTTTTTAAATGATTCTTTCTATACACACTCTTTTAAAAGTTGCAGTTGGGAGAAGCACACACTTTGCTTTTTGCTTCTGCCTTGACTGTAACACATCACAAAAGTGTTGTTAGATTCAAAACACTTTCATGGAGAAGCTTTCCCAGCTCCAAACACAATCAGTTTAAATTAATTATTTTCCAGATTGCATAATGTTGTGTGGTTGTCTTTGGATGCCTTATAAGCAATATTTAAAAACATATATTACTCTCTGCAGAAAATTTCTCAGTAAAGCACTTTTATTTCCATGGTTGGCTTAACAAGGTTAATCCTGTTTGTATCTGTCCATTTTGGATATTTGAATTGAGTTCTGCTGAGATTCTTTCTATGAGATGGAAGAGAGAGAACTCTCAGGTTTTTGTGATGGCATTTGAAGCTCTACATGGTCAGATCGCCTACTAAAGAACTTCAAGAATTCCTCACTGCTCATAGGAAAAAAGGCAGATCATTTGGCTTAGACTTCATTTCTAAATAATTACATATTTAAAGTTACTAACAATACAAAGAATAATGAAATGAGCACCCATATATCCAAAACCCAGCCTTGCCAAATCTGAACATTTTGCTATTTCAGATTTTTGCTATGATTGAATCATTTTTATTCTAAAATGAGTCTGAAAGTTAGAGCTAGAGTTGTAGGCTCCTGCGATATCCTTCATCTCATCAAATTCCCACTCTTCCAAGAAGTAACCAATGTCCTAATTTGATGTGCATCATTCATGCAAGTGTTTTTGTCTTTCTATTATATATGCAATAGAGTATGTCTAAAAATAATTCATGACATTTACTAGGTTTTAAAATGTGCGTAGAAATTATATTCTATATATCCCACTGAAATGTATTTTTGTATGTGGTAGAGGAGTGAGGATACACTTGTTTTTTCTTTTACAAATGAATGTTACCACACTTCTTCATGTATAGTTTATAATCCTTCCTACCTCATTTTGTAGATTTGTTTAGGTGTTTTTCTTTTCTTCAATTTCTCTTTAAATCAGTTGTGGTAAGCTACATTTTTCTAGAAAATGGCTCATTTCTTCTACATTTTCAAACTTATTAGCAAAGTTTTCCAGAGATTAGCTTTAATATTTTTCATTTTCTGTTATTTTTATAATACATCCACTTTTCAAACTTTTAAGGCCTATGATTAACTTTGCTGTCTACTTTGTTTCCTGACTAACTTCTCCAGAGTTTCTTCTATTATATTAAATTAATTTTTATAATGAAACACAGCTTTTGATTTTAACAATTCTCTCTATTATAGGTTTGTTTTCTATTTCTTTAATTTCTATTTTCATACTTCTTATTTCTTCATTTGTGTGCTCTTTGGGTTTACACTTCAAAAATGTTTCCAATTTATTAAATTGTAAGCCTAGCGTTTTAATTTTCATGCCTTTTGTTTATAATACAGCAATGTCAAGTTACAATTTTTTCTCCAATTACTGCTTTAATTGATTTCTACTTGTTTTGACATTATCATTCACAGAGTTTATATTCTTGGGTGGAGTGGTAAAAGGTGATGAACAAAAATAATTAATAAGTGGTAAAATATATTTTATAGGTGACAAATGCCATAAAATATGTTCAAGGTAAAGTAATGAGGAATTCTGGGGGTAGAGATGGGATTTTTGCTATTTTAAATAGAATTATTAGGGAAGGCCTTATTCACAAGATGATATTTGTGTAAAAACTTGAAGGAAGCACCCTTGCCAATATCTAGGGGAAAAGCATTTAAACAGAGGGAACTGAAATTTCAAAAACTGAGGTAGAAGCAGGGTTGAAGTATTTTTCTCTTGAGTTTCCATTTCTTTATATATTAAACTAAAGTTTGGCCTGCAGCAGGGTTTCCTGACTTTCAAACTTTGGACATTTGCAAATAACCTTCCTGTTATTTACCTTATTCACATACCACCCAAAGAGTGTATAATGTATTGCCAAAAAATGCAGAGAGATGGAGTAGAGGTACTACTTATGTTAGCTTCAACCTAAGTAGGAACTTGTTTTTTGAATATTTATTAAGATAAATTTATAAATTTAATAATAATTAAATTGTCTGTGTGAAAACTACAATCATTCAGTATTACCAGTGAAATAAGTGCCGCATTTAGGAAAACAGCTTTAAATTAGAAAACTTAAACTCTTGTTTAGTTCTATTTCCATATGTTTATAAATTGACTACTGAATGAACATTAGATAATTCTATAATTTTCCATAGATATAATTTTTCTGATTCTCCTTCAAAATCTAAAATACCCTAAGTGTGATAAGAAATGTTGTTGGTTATCAGTATGATGGTCCCTGACTTATAATGATTCAACTTAATAACTTTTCAACTTTACAATGATGTGAAATTTTCACAATCTCAATTTAATGTACAGTATTCAATAAATTACATGAAATGTTAAATACTTTATTATAAAATAAGCTTTGTGTTAGGTGGTCTTGCCCAACTGTAATGTAAGGCTTATGTAAGTGTTCTGAGCACACTCAAGTAGGGTAGGCTAAGCTATGATGTTCAGTAGATTAAGTGTATTAAAAGCATTTTTAACACATAATATTTTCAACTTATGATGGGTTTATTGGGATGTAATTACACTGTAAGTTGAGGAGCATCTGTATTCTTTTTGTAACTTTTGTTTTAAGTTCAGGGGTACATGTGCTGGTTTGTTAAAGTATTTGAGGCAGCAAGGAAGTAGGTATGGCTGGAGCAGAATGAACATGGAACATATTTTGAGAATTAACAGGATATAAATTATTTTAAGTACTTTTACCACTAATGAGATAGGAAGCTACTGGCAGGTTTTAAGCCGAGGATTGACAGAGTCTGACTTTTATTTTTTTTAAGTTTCAAATGTTGAGAGCAGACTCTAGGGATAAGGACAGAATCAGGGAGGCCAGGTGAAGAAGCTACTAAAATAATCCTGACAAACAATGATAGCAGTTGGATTGTATTCATAGTGGTGAGTGAAATTAGTGAAAAAAAAAAGTAAATATTATAGTTGTCATTTTTCACATATTACTCTTCCTGCCATTTCTGTTTATCTTATTTTAAATTCCATCTTCCATGTCTCCTAAATTTCCTAAATGTTTATCTGTCTGTACTTAGTAGTTTCTTCAGGTCTATTTTTCATTTCACTAATTATTTCTTAAGCTTGTTTTAGGCTACTGTTTATACTTCCTTCCAATTTTAATATTAACAACTGTGTTTTTCATTTATATATTCTTTCTCAAATACATCTTTTTAATGATGTCTCATCCTTCTTTCATATATATCTTTTATATCTTTAGTCATTTTAAAGATTGTACCTTTAATCATATTAAACATACCTAATAGTTTCTATCTATTATCTAAAGTTCTTAGAGGCCTGTTGCTATTGCTTTGCTACCTTTCCCTAGTGATTGTTACTTCAGGAACTATGTAATTTTTCTTTGTGAGCTAATTTTCAATGAGGTTTTAACTTGGGAAACATTTTGTAAACTTGTTTGAAGGTATGGCCCATCAAATGGATTTGTGCTTGCTTCTTCTTGGAGCCCCCAAAATAATAGCTGTGTGTATCCCTTTTATGTTAATTTCTCAGCTTGTAGTTTTCCAGATCATTCATACAGCATTGATTCACTACTGTTGCTGTTGCAAAGATTGTCACACTCCAGTCTTAAGTGGCAAAAGTCTTTTGTAATAAATCACTAGAAATGAAAATTTTAATTTTGTGGCCAGGTTGACAAACAAATTTTATTTGTGCCTTCCTATAATGATAGATTTCTTAAACCTTTTATTCTATTTTTGTAGCCCTAGGAAAGCACTTAAACTGTGGGTAGATGTCAGTTATGCTTCCCTCTATCCCCAACATTTCAGGCCTAATATCTCCTTCTTCGTCCATTTACATGCATAAAAGTCAAGAGCTTTTTTAGTCCCAGGGTTTCCTTATGAACTTACTGGTGAGGTGTGCAGGGTTTTTGTTTCTGTTTTTTTTTTTTTTTTTTAGTTTCTGTGGATTTTCCTTTCTTGTTGGTTCACTTATGCCTTTAAATGGTATTTGTTGTGTTTTATGGAGCTGTCGAATGTGACATATTGACAGAAGTAGATGGTGAACTGTTTTGACACTTTGTGATCTGTTACTAATTTACCTTTCTGATTTTATATTTATTACCCATTGATTTACTCATACTAGCTTAATGACTTGGCCAAATTGACAAGTTATTACATTGCTTCTGCTGTTTTTTTCTCCTGGATTTTTTCCATTGCTAATCTCTTAAAACCATATATAACCCATATATTAAGGCTCAGCTTAAATGTCAATCCTTTCAGGAATCTGCCTTTCATATGCCAATGGGCAGGGGTATTTGCTCCTATGATGTCTTATCTTCACCTCTTCATTAGTGCCCATGGGCTTCCCCATCTATTATGCTTATTGTTATGCTCTTACCTTCTCCAGCATCACCCTGCCCTAGCATTAGACTGAGAACATATGATCCAGGACAAGAGCTGTGCTTGATTCATTCTGTATGTAACACAGGTATAGCACTATGTCTTTCAGAGTCTGAGAGTATATTAAATAAAATTGTGTAAAAGTAGAGTTTCAAGCAGAAGCTGTAATATAAACATACCATGAATGGAATTGGTATATCCAGTGAATGCTTAGATTAGATATCTGTAAATCTATTCCAATTTTAAGAACTAATAAAAAAATAATAAAAACAGTAGGAGGCAGCCAAATGCCTAGGCAGATAGGGGTAGGTCCCCAGTGAAAACCCACCTCCAAGCCAAAGACAGTTTAAAGCCTAAAAGACTAGGTACAAGTTAAATCCTTAGACTGGATTGAGAACTTGTCTTCCTGTTTGGCATGCTTTCCTCTTGATTCCCACCCTTCACCTATTTTACCTATACCTACCCTTTCCTAATTGTTTTTCTATGCTGTCATGCCCACCTTTGAGTGGTGACTTTGCTTCAACATTTATTGCATACTCACAAACCAATCAGCATGCACTTCCCATCCTGTGCCTATAAAGACCCCAGAATCAGTTGGTAGAGGGGGAGACAGCCTGCCTTTGGGGAAGAGACAACCTGACTTTGGGGAAGACCATCTGCCCTTCCCATTCCCTCTCTAGTTTCCCTCTCCACTGAGAGCCGTTTTCATTGCTCAATAAAATTCTCTGCCTTCACCATCCTTCAATCATCTGCATGACTTCATTCTTCTTGGACAATGGACAAGAACCTGGGACCCACCAAGTGTGGTTACCCAGAAACGCTGTCACGCTGGCTCTTTGCCCTTGCTGGTGGAGGGCAGCCACCTCACACAATGAGGCAAGGGGCCAACTGAGTTGCTAACATACCACCGTCCGTGGAAGGTGGAACTAAAGGAGCACTGTAACATCCCCTCTGGGGCTTCAGGATCATGGGCACCCTCACATGGGCACTGCCACATTCCCCTCAAGGCGACACACCTGATCTGACCACAGGCGCTGCAGGAAGCTTGTTCCTGTATCGGCACTCAGAGCGGCTGGCTGGGTTCCTCACTCACTCGCTCGTGTGCTCCCTCCCACAAGGGGTTGAGTGCAGTAGGCTGAGTAGAGGGGGCACCCCTGCCATGAGTTCAGCAAAGGGGTCAAGAAAAATCCTGCATCAATAATAGCCCAAATGGTTAAGCCTATTATGTTTCAGGCACTTTGCTAGGTGCTTTACTTAGATGATCTCTAATTCCCCTGACAATTCAGAAAAACAGATGAGGTTAAGGTAGTTGCAGAAGATCAGAGGCAGTAGAAGTCAGAGCTGAGATTTGGATCTAGATCTATCTAGCTTCCAAAGACAACAAAAGGCAAATGTACATAATTGCCAAAAGAGGAAAGCAATGAGCTTTAGTGAAGATAAAGTATTGTTTATTCCAGGTAGATGGTCAGAGACGGTAGACTGAAGTAGATGAAATTGGAAGAATGCCACTCATTTGTTAAGGTACAGTTCCAGTGCCCCCTCATCCAGGAAGCACTGACTCCCCTGCCTAGATAGTTCCTTCCTTCTGGTTTTCCTCAGTCCTCTCTGTATTTACCACAATTTTTACATTTTAATCACTTGATTTTAATAATCTGTTTATGGGTTTTTTTCTCCACTAGCCAATGACTGTCTTAAGGACAGGAACTTTAATTTTTTTTACTCTTTTTTTCATGCTATTCTCATAAAATATTGATGTGTTTCTATCAAAATATTTACATAACATATTCTGGTCTCAGAGATTCATAATGCAAATAAATAAATAAAGGTTCTAAGAACTCTTGCAAAAGAGATTTGTTTAGCCTCAGCTAAAGTAACATTTCCCAATTCTGTTTGACCACAGATCTCCTTTTTTTTTTTTTAGAACACTTACTGATATTTGTGTACTAATATTTTGGAAAATAAACCTTGATATAGTTTTCATACATTACTTTCTTTAATGTTTCTTTTCTCTTTGTTTTTGGGGTGATAGATAAGTAGTGGTGTTCACTAATTTTATAATATAAAATAAATTGTCATCATATCAATTGCTAAAAGAAAGTATGCTGTGTAGCAAGCAGTAAACAGTTTGTTAAAGAAAACTGCTCTCTTGGTAAGAAAAAGTACTTGGCATTTCTGTCTTTGAGGTAGCCACACTTGTCCTAGCAATGTGTGTGTGTCTGCATGGTGTGTGTGTGTGTGTGGCAGGGGGGTATGTGGTATGTGTGGTGGGGCATCCATAAATCCAATCCAAATTTGCTCCTCACTTTGATTACTCTTTTAGATTGTTACTTCGTTTCTTCACAAGCATAGACTTCTTTGTCTGCTGCTTCTGTTGAAGCACATAAATCCAAGTGGCAGCTGTAATATTTAGAAGTACAAAATACATGGGAAAGGGCTCAACAGTTTTCTCAGTGCTAATGGCAGCCAAGGGCTGAGCTGTGTGTGTCATAAATGGTAGGGTTGTCCAAAGGAAAAAATCCTTTGTAGGCAGTTTTATCCTCTTTAAATTTTTGCTTTTAAAGAGTGGAATCTTTCAGTAGCAGAAGCGGTTACAATCAAACCTCACCTGTTTTTTACATCTCACAGCTCCTTGGGGAACACAGCAAATGAAGATGACCCAGGGAAAAAGGGGTAGTGATGCCAAGTTCTTAGCAGAACGGCTTTCCAAAAGACGTGCTATGCAGAGGTGCTTTTCTGTTTCATAACCATTTTGGTGTCTCTTGCCCCATGAAATGACTCTAGAAAAGTCTCCTTTTCTGCAGCCATAAATGCCTCTACTATGATCCTCAGGAAAACACTCATAAAACACACTCATGTGAGGAATTCAATGTTACTTGTCTCATGAGTCCCCAGTATACTACATATGCAGGCATAGACCTATATTTAATACCAAAACATTTGGAAATGGTGCACCCCAAGATTCTCAGTTTCCAGTATAATTATAAAGCACTTGCTAAAGTAGAGTGAAAAAGATGTTTTTATTCCTTAATGTTGTTTTTGTTTTATTTACTATGCTTGGTAAGTAGGTAGACTCCTAAATAAAAAACAAAAGTTAATTTTAAAATATTGCTGGTAACATTTTGATCAGGAAAAATACCATTATTGAGGACCTACCATGGATCAGCATTATGCATTTTATTCCTCTAAATTCTCACAATGCTCTTATAAGGTAACATTTATTCTCATTTTACATATGAGGAAAAAGATCTCAGAGGCTGAGAGGTCACAGAATTATGAAATGCTAGAGCTAATGTCTGAAACAAGGTTTTCAACATCTCCAAGGGTATAATAGGAATGCTGGAGGAGTGGAGGCAATTTCAGGTCAAGTTATCTATGAGATAGTATCTGCAGCAAGACATGAGGACATGAGCCTAGAGTCACTGTGTTGCAGGATTTTTGTCAGCCCCTTTACTGGACTCTCAGAAGGGGTGCCATCTACTCAGCCCACAGTGCTCAACCCCTTGCTGGAGGGAGCACATGAGTGAGCAAGTGCAGAACTGGCCAGCCACTTCATGGAGCAAGCTCCGTGCAGGGCCTGCATCCAGAGCAGGTGTGCCACCACAAGGGGAATGCAACAGCCCCCAAGTGAGGGTGCCTGTGACCTTGAAGCCCCAGAGGGGGTGTTACAGTGCTTCTTTAGTTCCACCAGCCATTGACAGTGGCCTGTTAGTAGCTCAGTTGGCTCCTTGCCTCATTGCATGGGGTGGCTGCCCTCTGCCACTGAAGGCAAAGGGCCGGTGTGACAACATTTCTAGGTACCCACACTCAGTGGGTCCCGAGCTCTTGTCCAGCATCCAAGAAGAATGAAGTCACATGGATGGTTGAAGTGTGGTGAAGGCAGATAATTTTATTGAGCAATGAAAATGGCTGTCAGCAGAAAGGAGAGCTGGAGATGGGATGGGAAGTTCAGGTCCTCTTCCCCAAAGTCAGGTTGTCTCTTCCCTAAGGTCAGGCCATCTCACTTTCTACCTACCGAGTCTGGGGTCTTTATAGGCACCGGACACGGAGTGCATGCTGATTTGTTTGTGAGTATGCAAAAATGGTTAAAGCAAAAGACACTACTCAAAGTTGGGCATGACAGTGTAGAAAACCAATTAGGAAAGGATAGGTATACGTAAAATTGGTGAAGGGTGGAGATCAATCAGAGGAGAGCATGCCAAACAGGAAGACAAGTTGACAGGGAGACATCACTCCTGGTTCATGGCCTCTTCTGTGATGGTGGTGCCATTCCCTAAGATGGAGAAGGGTGGGGACTAACTGGGGTTTGAGAGGCAGAAATCAAAAGTACCACTGGGGTCATAGAATTAGCTAGTGTCAAGTTAAAAGGAAAAGAATACAGAAACTACTAGATATTTTTTCCAAAGAAGCATCTGTTGCAGGAAAATGGCCACAAAGGTCAGGGGTGCATTATAACTTTCATAGCTCTTTGCACTTTTAATTTCTTGGGCCTTTTCCTCCATTAATCTTTTTTAAATGTTTTATGACTATATTGGTGTAATGACAAATATAATCTAAGCTAGCATCATTGTCATATATTTATTTTTTTCTTCTGATGAAAAAATAAAAATGAAAACGTTTCTTTGGCCTCTAAATTGTGGGCCCAAGGTACTGTGCCTGATGGATATGTTGGCTCTCATAACAGTGTTGAAATGAGGGGAGAGTGAAAGGGGAATGGGGTATTCCAGCAACACAAAGGTCCTGCCACCAATGGGCTAGAGTTCGTGAGCTGCACTTATCCGCTGATGGCACTGGAACCACCAAATGCTTCAATCTCATTGTTCCCTCAATTGCTGCAGCTGCTCAAAGTGCCATCACAGAAATTTCTGGAATGGTCACAACTGCTACTGAGCAGAAAATTTCAGGGTTGCCATTGCCAGAGGTACTGCCAACTGCTGAACTGTTCTTAATTTCTTGTCCTTTCTCATCTCCCTGTAGTATGTTTTATTGGCAGAACCTGATGGGAATTCAGCAGGCCTGGGAGTCTGGGGCCTGTCATTTGCAGGCTTCCAGTCCTCCATCCAGGAGACCACAAGAGAGCAAATTCTGGATTGATAATCAACCGATAAGTATCTGGCATATGCATGTTAAGTTTGAGATGTCTGTGAAAGATACCAATGGAAATGTCAAGTGAGAGCACATTGAGGGGGGTGTGGAGAAATGAGTTAGACAACTAAGCCTGCAACTAAGATCACCAACATTTCCACCAGATAAAAGAAGAAAAACTGGCAGAAGAGCCTGGGAAGAAATCCAAGTGGAAAAGCAGCCAAATGTAGAAGCTAAGAGGGGAGAATGTTTTTAGAAAGGGTGGATGATCAGCTGCGTTAAACACTGCTGAAAGGCTTAAGAAGACAAAAACATGAAAATGTCATTGGATTTCACATCATGGCCATTGTTGGTAACCTTGACGAGGGTAATTTCAATCAAGAGCTATGCACAGGGGCCAAAATGGCTTCGTGCTTTCTGATTTACTTTATGAAATCCCCTATGGTATGTGGATTATTACCTCACACATCTACTGAGTTCCAAACTCAGCTTTCTGACAAGTCCAGTCTTGTTTCTACTATCTCAAAAAGTTATAAAATAATCACTGTCCTTCCTTTATGAGCAATAACACTGAGAAATAGAAGGTTCCAATCCTTTCTTGCAAAAATTCTGGCCATGTGCAACTTGGACCACATGGAATCTCAAATTAAAAAATATTCTTAGATGAAAAATTCCAAGGCCTCTAGCATTTCTCATCGGTAAGTGCTTTGAGTGTGCACAGATGGAAACCAGGAGTAGGTATGGTCTTCCCATTACCACCACCCCAACACTTATTTTATCATCCTTTCTTTAAAGAGCAGAGAAGTTTTGGTGTTCTGATCCCTTTATTTTAAGGCAATGGCAGATAACTTTAGATCACATCTGTCAGCTAAAAAAATCCAAGGAAGCTGTTGCATGCTAGTCAGCCTTCAGAAGATGAAAGGTCAAATAATAACTGGTGAGGTGAGAGGAGCTGTGAAAGGGGAAAATGAAAATCTATTGAAAAATGAGGAGTTACCATGTAAGGCTAAGTAGCTGAGAAGGGCCCCAGGAGAATATTCTTGCTGATTCCAAAAAGTCCATGGAATTACTAGTGGCACCAACAGGAATATTAAGATAGAGAAAGAATCCAAAGAAGAATGATATTTTGTCATCTCTGGGGCATTCAATTATCTGGGAAAATCAGGTACATTTCTTTTTCCAATTCCTAAGTTTGTCCTTTGCCTACATTGCTGTAATGATTTCCTTATTTGTCTCCGGCAATTGTCATAAACCCTGATTATGACTCTCTACACTATAGAAAAGATGATATGATATTCCAAACACACAAGTTTAACCACATAGTTTAAACTCTCCATTGCTTCCCATTACTTTCAGGATAAAGTGCAAATTCCTTAAGATAGCTTACCTTTCTTACCTTCTCCACCCATCTACCACCAGATACACATACACCCCTGCCCCAAACTCCAACTATAATAACTACTCCCATTTATCCTGGATAATTCCTGTTTTTCATTCCAGCTTAGATATCACCTCGTGTGGAAAAAAAAAAAAATCCTTCTCAAATCTCTAAGACTGGGCTAAGTTCCTTCACTAGGTACCTCTAGCCCTGCCTTAACATATTTCTCTATATAGATTATTTGACTGACTTCTCCACTAGACTGTAAACTCTGGAGGGTTGGGACTATGTCTTCTTCACTATTATAAGTTGTATTAGTCTGTTTTCATGCTGCTGGAAAAGACATACCCAAGACTGGGAAGAAAAAGAGGTTTAATTGGACTTACAGTCCCACATGACTGGAGAGGCCTTAGAATCATAGCGGGAGGCAAAAAACGCTTCTTACATGGCGGCGGCAAGAGAAAATGAAAAAGATGCAAAACCAGGAACCCCTGATAAAGCCATCAGACCTTGTGAGACTTATTCACTATCATGAGAACAGTATGGGGGAAACTGCTTCTGTGATTCAAATTATGTCCCACTGGGTCCCTCCCACAACACATGGGAATTATGGGAGTACAATTCAAGAGGAGATTTGGGTAGGGACACAGAGCCAAACCATATCATTCCACTCCTGGCCCCTCCAAATTTCATGTCCTCACATTTCAAAACCAATCATTCCTTCCTAACTGTTCCCCAAAGTCTTAAATCATTTCAACATTAACCCAAAAGTCTATAGTCCAAAGGCTCATCTGAGACAAGGCAAGTTCCTTCTGCCTATAAGCCTGTAAAATCAAAAGCAAGCTAGTTACTTTCTAGATACAATGGGGGTATAGGTATTGGGTAAATACAGCCATTCCAAACAGGAGAAATTGTCCAAAACAAAGGGGTTACAGGGCCCATGCAAGTCTGAAATCCAGTGGGGCAGTCAAATTTTAAAGCTCCAAAATGATCTCCTTTGACTCCATGTCTCACATCCAGGTCATGCTGATGCAAGAGGTAGGTTCCCATAGTCTTGGGCAGCTCTGCCCCTGTAGCTTTGCAGGGTATAACCCCCCTCCTGGCTTCTGCCACAGGCTGGTGTTGAGTGTCTGCAGCTGTTCCAGGTGCATGGTACAAGCTATCACTGGATCTACCATTCTGGGGTCTGGAGGACAGAGGCCGTCTTCTCACAGCTCCACCAGGCAGTGGCCCATTAGGGACTCTGTGTGGGGCTTCAACCCCATATTTCCCTTCCAAACTGCCCTAGCAGAGGTGAGGGGCCCACCCCTGCAGAAAACTTTTGCCTGGGCATCCAGGCATTTCCATACATCTTCTGAAATCTAGGTGGAGGTTCCCAAACATCAATTCTTGATTTCTGTGCACCCAGAGGCTCAACATCACATGGAAGCTGCCTAAGTTTGGGGTTTGCACCCTTTGAAACTATGGGCTGAGCTGTACATTGGCCCCTTTTAGCAATGGCTGGAGCAGCTGGGATGCAGGGCACCAAGTCCCTAGGCTGCACAGAGCATGGGGACCCTGGGTCAGGCCCACAAAACCATTTTTTCCTCCTAAGCTTCTGGGTCTGTGATGGGAGGGGCTGCCATGAAGACCTATGACATGCTCCGGAGACATTTTCCCCATTGTCTGGAGGATTAACATTGGGCTGCTTGTTACATATGCAAATTTCCACAGCCAGCTTGAATTTCTCCTCAAAAAATGGGTTTTCCTTTTCTACTGCATCATCAGGCTGCAAATTTTCTGAACTTTTATGATCTGTTTCCCTTTTAAAATGGAATGCTTTTAACAGCACCCAGGTCACGTTTTGAATGCTTTGCTGCTTAGAAATTTCTTCTGCCAGATACCCTAAATCAGCTCTCTCGAATTCAAAGTTCCACAAATCTCTAGGGCAGGGGCAAAAATGCCACCAATCTCTTTGCTAAAACATAATAAGAGTCACATTTGCTCCAATTCCCAACAAGTTCTTCATCTCCATCTAAGACCATGTCAGCTTGGACCTTATTGTTCATATCATTATCAGCATTTTTGTCAAAGCCATTCAACAAGTCTCTAGGAGGTTCCAAACTTTCCCACATTTTCCTGTCTTCTTCTGAGCCCTCCAAACTCTTCCAACCTCTCTGTTACCAAGTTTCAAAGGTGCTTTCACATTTTCAAACATCTTTTCAGCAACACCCTAATCCTGGTACCAATTTACTGTATTAGTCCATTTTCATGCTGCTGATAAAGACATACCTGAGACTGGGAAGAAAAAGAGGTTTAAATGGACTTATTTTACCATCCCATAGGGCTGGGGAGGCCTCAGAATCATGGCGAGAGGTGAAAGGCACTTCTTACATGGTTGTGGCAAGAGAAAAATGAGGAAGATGCAAAAGCATCTTCTGATAAAACCATCAGATCTCGTGAGACTTATTCACTACCATGAGAACAGTATGGGGGAAACCACCCCCATGATTCAAATTATCTCCCACCCGGTCCCTCCCACAACACATGGGAATTATGGGAGTACAATTCAAGATGAGATGTGGGTGGGGACACAGCCAAACCGTATCATAACACTAATGCCTAGCACAACATATGGCTCATTTTATCAATAAAGACTCATTGAATAAATAAATTCATGAGAGAGAAAAAAACAGCTAGGACAATTCCAGGGGCTGAATTGAGCCTGGACATTCATCACTCAAGATATCTCAAGGGAGTGCAGCCAGGAAGGAATCATTGTTGAAAAACTGAAGGTCAAAGTCAATAAATCCAGACCACATGTCTTGTCCAAAGACAGAATATCAACCTAAGAATGAGTTGGCAAATAAAGAGTTTGGTGAGTTTATAGAAATATAGGGGCCGGGCGCGGTGGCTCACGCCTGTAATCCCAGCACTTTGGGAGGCCGAGGCGGGCGGATCACGAGGTCAGGAGATCGAGACCATCCTGGCTAAAACGGTGAAACCCCGTCTCTACTAAAAATACAAAAAAAAAATTAGCCGGGCGTAGTGGCGGGCACCTGTAGTCCCAGCTACTTGGGAGGCTGAGGCAGGAGAATGGCGTGAACCCAGGAGGCGGAGCTTGCAGTGAGCCGAGATCCCGCCACTGCACTCCAGCCTGGGCAACAGAGCGAGACTCCGTCTCAAAAAAAAAAAAAAAAAAAAAAAAAAGAAATATAGGACAAGGTACAAGGAATGGCTGAAGGAGAGAGGTTGTCCTGTTCATTTGGGCTGCTGTAACAAAATACCTTAGATTTGGTGGCTTATAAACATCAGAAATGTATTGCTCCCAGTTCTGAACACTGGGAACTCCAAGATGAAGGTACTGGCAGAGTCAGTGTCTGTGGAGGGCTCACGCTCTGGTTCATCATTAGCACTTTCACTGTGTCCTTACAGTGGAAGGGGCAGGGCAACTGTCTGGGGACTATTTTATAAGGGCACTAATCCCATTCATGAGGGTGTCACCCTCATGACCTAATCACCTCCCAAAGTCCTGACTTGATACCATCGTCTTGGGGATTAGGTTTCAACATATGAATTTTGAGGTAACAAACATTCAGACCATAGCAGTGGAGAATCATCAGTTTGGAGCCCTTTTGTGTGTACTCATCAGGTCTAGCGGAAGTGGGGAGAAGAGTTTCAAGGGGCTCATCTAAGCTGACTTGCATGTATACAGTAAAGTGTAATAGACACATCACAGGGTACTGGAATCAGATCGCTTGCATTTGTATCCTGGCTCCTCCATCTCTTACTAGCTCTGTAACTTTGAAGAAGTTACTAGCCCTTCTACACATCAGCTTTTCTCATCTGAAAACAATCATACTAATAATGCCAAACTCTTAAATTCATTGTGATTTGTTGGTTGGTTTGTTTGGAGACAGGATCTTGCTCTTGCACCCAGGCTAGCCGGCTAGACTGCAGTGGTGCTATCACAGCTCACTGCAGCCTTGAACTCCTGTGCTCAAGCAATCTTCTCACCTCAGCCTCCCAAGTAGCTGGGACTACAGGCATGCACCACCATATCCTGCTTATTTTCAATTTTTTTGTAGAGATGGGGTCTCACTATGTTGCCCAGGTTGGTCTCAAACTCCAGCCTCAAGTGATCCTCCCACCTTGGCCTCCCCAAATACGGGGATTACAAACTTCAGCCACTGCATCTGGCCTAAATTCACTGTGATTTTTAAATGAGCTGATTTGTGCAAATTCTCTAAATTAGTACCTGGTACATAAAAAGCTCTCAATAAGTGTGAGAAATTAGTAAATATTAATGATGCCTTCAAGATTAACATATGCCACATGTGTCCAGGCTCTCTGTGTTGGTCCACATTAAGGACTTTCCTAAAGGCAAGTCCCCCTTTGTTTGGTATATGGTATCCTGTATCTCAGACTTTTTTCACTATGCATAATAGAGTTCTTTCTACCTGCAACATACACTTGGACAGAATATATTTAGAAGTTTAAGATATGAAGTTACTTAACAGCATTTTCTAACAGTGACATGAAACTGCCAAGGCCCTGTCCCATCTCCTTTCACCCTGCTTACTATGGCTGGGGTCAAGCAGCATCATTTCCTCTTTGAAGGCACTGAGACATCCCCAACAGGATTTCTGACTCAGTGGCAAAGGCCCCATTTGGATATTGGACCCCAATCTGAATTGTGCAGCTTCATTTCCTAGAGAAGCCAAATTATTAATTTCATGATATAGGTAGTGATATAGAGGCTTTGTTTTCTTAAAAATTCTTATTCTTTAACATCTGGGAGGCTTTACATTCACAGCAAAAATAAAAAGGTGGATTCATGATCCATCCCTGCAGGATGTTGGGCTAGTGGGGACTCTCCTAGGCCCCATCAGTGTCTGCTCTCCCAACTGGGTGCAAAGGGTCCTTGTGGCCTGCAGCAAAGGAGCTGGTGGGCAGGAGTAGACAGTGCAAGTGCCCCTGAGAGATGGACAGGGAGCACAGCCTCCTTCTGTCTCCAGCACATCTCAAAGATGTCCAACTCAAAAATGACAAACTGCATGGGACACCATTGGGCATCTTCAGGCTTCCCTGCTCCTGGGGATCATGGTGTTCACACAGGCACATCCCACACTCACTTCCGCTCACACCCACACCCAGATTCTACTGACTCTGGCAAACAGATGCAGGCTAAATGCTAGGACCACCTCCCCACAGCTGCTCACACCTTCCCAGGAGGGCTTGTCTCTTGCACCTGGGAAGTGACCTATTTCCTCTAGAGCTAACCAGGGCAGATGGACAACTTGGCCAAGGGCCCTGTTCCCACAAGGACAGAGGGTGGGCAGGCACTTGGCTGCTAACAGAGCAGCCCTGGTCGCCCCATATGGGCTGACTTCAAGCAAAGGGACACCCCCATGACCTGTCAGCAGCTTCTTCTGCAATCATCTCTCCAGGGTCCATCAAGGAGTAAACTCAGTGCAATGCAGGGCATGAGGGTCACTAGTGCTGGCCTCCTGGAGGGCTCTGGCTCACTGGGCCAGATGGTTTGGTCTTGGCTTGGGGTCAGTGGCTGCTTCTTTCCCCAAGATCCACTGGCAATTGCTCTGTTGAGACAGCTGGAAGGCATCGGGGACCCAGGAGTGTATCCTGCAGAAAAACTCCCAAAGAAGAGGATACTTGGGGTCAGAGTCTCAAGGAATGCAGAGTGCATCCTGGGTAGAACCTCCACTGAAGCCTGACAGGGTCAGGTGCTGGGAAGCAGCCAAGGAGGCCTGGAAGCACGCCCCACTGGAAATGGGTATTGTGGGCAGAGGCCAAGGCTCTGCAAACCTCTCTCTCCCAGAATCTGGAAGAGACGATCCCAGCTCTGCTGGGAGGGAGGATGGATGAGGCTCTTGGGCAGGCCTAGTGGTTTAGGGATAGCAGCTTAACAGTGTGGTGATCACAACTTCAGGAGGCAGGTCCCAAGGCAACAAGTGCTAGTGACAGAGAGCAGGCCTGCTGACCTGGCTGGCAGCTCGTGCCTCCTGCTCACTCTCCCCGCAACCTGGGAACCAGAAGGAAGAGTGTGACAGGCAGGGCTCAGGCAGCACCTGCGAAATCCCTGGAGAACTGGGGACAGAGAAGACAAAGAGCAGGGCCTGCTCACACACATAAAGGAACACACACTGCAGTGCCCAGCCTGCCACTGTAGCAGCCGTGTGCTGCCCCAGCAGTTAATGCCACCCTGGAAGAGTGGAGAGCTGACCAGGACCTTGGCCTTCTTTGACTCCAGGGGTATATCAGCTCCGAGAAGAGGAGCTGGCCACACAGGGAGCCCCGGGAGTGCTTGGGTTGGCAGCACAGCTGGGGGTGGTAGGTGTGCACCATTGGCTATAGGCCCTAGGGCTGTCAGGCCACAGGATGTTCTGGATAAAGGAGGGTATGGGGTGGATGTAGCTGATCCACAGGTGGATGTGGTGAAGGAAGATGGCTCGCAGCACCTGTTTCAGTGCTGCGTTCCACCTGAGCCCGGCAGGGGTGCCCATTATCCACTCCAGCAGATTTGGAAGTTACCCCGCCACAAGGTAATAAGCTTGTCTCTTATATTCCTTCTTATAACTATTATTTTTTTCTCTTTTGTAATTGCCTCGGCTTGAGTAATAAATATGGGCTCTAAAAGTGTAAACATACAAACAACAGGTGGAGTATCTGAGAAATCCAGTTAATTCTTTCCTGAGGATTGGGACAGAGTTTTAGTGTAGGCAGCTCCTGCTTTTATCCCTTCTTGGTGCCTTGGCCTCAGTCACGTTGCCTTCCTCCACAGGCTTCTGCTAATTGACACTACTGTCTATAATTCTGCCGTGGGTACCTTAACTGAGAGTGCCTTTTGATTCTTCTGGGGAAATTCATCTACACCATTTCCTTAGACTTCTCAATCATTTCCTCATACTATAAGTAACACCATTTTAGAAAAGGAAAACAGTTTTCCCATTCTTCATCATGACATCCATTATTGGCACCTGTTACGTTTTATCATAGCTCTGAAATTCCTAAACTTCCTCAAGTTCATGGTACTTAGTGTCTCAGTAATTCCTTCATGGCATGCCTAGGCTTAAAGAAATACCTAATAATTCTGTTTATTAAGTAGTTAGTACAAAACAACTTGTTATAATAAGCATTATATTATATTATATATATTATATATGAAAAAATATATTCTGAAATAACCACACTAACTGTATTTGTTTGCTATGGCTTTGTATTAGTCAGGGTTCTCCAAGGAGACTATGTATATAAAATAAGAATTGGCTTGCACATTTTGGAGGCTGACAAGACTTAAGATCTGCAATCAGCAAGCTGCAGACCCGGGAGAGAGGATAGTATCATTCCTGTCCAAGTCCATGAACTAGGAGAGCCAGTGATGTAAGTTCTAATCCAAGTCTTGAGTCCAAAGGCAGGAGAAGATCAAGGTGCCAGCTCAAACAGTTAGGGAACAGTTAGGGAGAGAGAATAAATTCTTTTTACCCATCATTTTATTCTCTTCAGGCTTTCAACAGATTGGACAAGGCCCACCCACATTAAGAAGGGCAATCTGCTTTCCTCAGTCCGCCAATTCAAATGTCAGTCTCACTCAGAAACACCCTCACAGGCAAACTCAGACAATATTTAGTCAAGTATCTGTGCACTCGATGACCCAGTCAAGTTGACTCATAAAATTAGCCATCACTCGTTTTGATGTTAATAAAATATCCCAGACTGGGTGGCTTAAACAGCAAAAAAAATTGTTTTCTCACAGTTATGGTGGCTAGAAGTACAAGATGAAGGTGTTGACAGCTTTGATTTCTGCTGAGGCCTCTTTCCTTGGCTTGCAGATGGCCACCTTCTCACTGTGTTTCCACATGGTCTTTCCTCTGTGCGTGAGCATCCCTGGGGTCTCTCTGTGTGTTCAAATTTTCTCTTCTTATAAGGACACCAGTCGGATTAGATTAGGGCCCACCTAATGGCCTCATTTTAATTTAACCACCTCCCTAATGGCCTTATCTTCAAATATAGTCACATTTTGAGGTACTAGGGTTACGATTTCAACATATGACTTTGAAGGTGGGGAGACCCAAGTCAACCAATAACACTTACTAACGGGGTTTGTGGGCCCATTTGCCATTGTACATTTTCTCATACCTTGGAATCACATTCATCACTGCCACCCTCACATTGAATTTTATACAATACAAGCTTGGCATCACAGTAGCTGCCAAAAACCCATTTTCACAAAGGTGTAACATCATCAAATGGAGTGAAGCATTATCTAATATTGAGACTCACCTAATGGAAACGATCACAAGCTAATACTTTGCAAATGTCAATCATCACTGTGTTTTCCTTTAAAATGTGGGATATCTTGAGGTGTCCCTATGACTTGTGGTGCCAAGAACACCTTACCACACAGTTTGAGAACCATAACAATAGGTAACTTACATATTTATCACGTTGGTCTTCCCACTAACTTCCAGTTTAGTATTGTCCATTTAACTATTTATAAGAGGAGAAAACTGAGGCTAAGGCTGGCTATGTAATTTTACCAAGGTAACACAGTTAATAAATACTAGAATCAGGTCTACTACTCAGTTTTCCAGCACTGCTACTGGCGTAGAGATAAATACTTATATTTACATTGAAAAAATATATACTTAAATAATCACACTTACTGTATTTGTTTGCTTTGGTTATGTATTAGTCCAGGTTCTTCAAATAGGCCATACAAAACTGGGAGTTATTGGGAAGAACAAACGTGATAAATGTGAAAAACTGGGTTGCTCCTAACAACATAGACGTTTGTTAATATAATGCACATACATTGAAAAAATGTATACTTAAATAATCACACTTACTGTATTTGTTTGCTTTGGTTATGTATTATCCAGGTTCTTCAAACAGACCACACAAAACTGGGAGTTATTGGGAAGAACAAACGTGATAAATATGAAAAACTGGGGTGCATAGTGTTGCTTAGTATTCTACATTCAGTCCCACCTCCTTTTAGTGTATCAGTCCTTCCTGCATGTCAGAAAGCTATAAAGTTAAAAGACATTTTTTTCCAGGCTTTTTTGCAGCTGGGGCTCAGGAGACCAATTAGTATTTTTCTTTTTTTTTTAAATTTTATTATTATTATACTTTAAGTTTTAGGGTACATGTGCACAATGTGCAGGTTAGTTACATATGTATACATGTGCCATGCTGGTGTGCTGCACCCATTAGCTTGTCATTTAGCATTAGGTATATCTCCTAATGCTATCCCTCCCCCCTCCCCCCACCCCACAACAGTCCCCAGAGTGTGATGTTCCCCTTCCTGTGTCCATGTGTTCTCATTGTTCAATTCCCACCTATGAGTGAGAATATGCGGTGTTTGGTTTTTTGTTCTTGCGATAGTTTACTGAGAATGATGATTTCCAATTTCATCCAAGTCCCTACAAAGGACATGAACTCATCATTTTTTATGGCTGCATAGTATTCCATGGTGTATATGTGCCACATTTTCTTAATCCAGTCTATCATTGTTGGACATTTGGGTTGGTTCCAAGTCTTTGCTATTGTGAATAATGCCACAATAAACATACGTGTGCATGTGTCTTTATAGCAGCATGATCTATAGTCCTTTGGGTATATACCCAGTAATGGGATGGCTGGGTCAAATGGTATTTCTAGTTCTAGATCCCTGAGGAATCGCCACACTGACTTCCACAATGGTTGAACTAGTTTACAGTCCCACCAACAGTGTAAAAGTGTTCCTATTTCTCCACATCCTCTCCAGCACTTGTTGTTTCCTGACTTTTTAATGATTGCCGTTCTAACTGGTGTGAGATAGTATCTCATTGTGGTTTTGATTTGCATTTCTCTGATGGCCAGTGATGGTGAGCATTTTTTCATGTGTTTTTTGGTTGCATGAATGTCTTCTTTTGAGAAGTGTCTGTTCATGTCCTTTGCCCACTTTTTGATGGGGTTGTTTGTTTTTTTCTTGTAAATTTGTTTGAGTTCATTGTAGATTCTGGATATTAGCCCTTTGTCAGATGAATAGGTTGCACTCACATTGAGATTTTTAAGATGGGAATAAGGTGGAGGTTATTGTCCTGTTTGAGACTTGGACAATTTTTCTGCAGTGGCATCCCAGCAACTGGACTTCAGGCTTACATGTCAAGTCACAGCACTGAGTAGATTCAGTGTTCACTTCCCAGTTACCAAATCTGTGAAGGTTGAGAGCATTTGTGATGACAGCAGCAGATGCCTCCTAATCTGGCTTATTGATCCTTGGCTGTAACCACTGAGGGATGTTCTTAAACTCAAGAGTTCCAGTGGCTGTCTCCTAATTTCCCACATTTTGGACTGCGGCAGAAACAGAAGCTGTCCAGTGTGTGCGTGCATGTGTGTGTGTGTGTGTGTGTGTGTGTGTGTGTGGAGGGGGGTGGTGGCTGGAATCATTCTTGTGATATTCTGGGACATTTTTTGAAGACTCAGCTATTTTCCACATTTTAAGCCCTTAGAACACTTTAGAAAGCCTGAATTCCCTGTTAAAAGATCCTTAAGATACCTTGAGTGATACATGTTTTCTATATGTAAGTTTGGATGATACATTGTAATATGTTAATAACTTAAGAGAGAAAAGCCACTACTTTTGTATTAGAGAAATAGGAAATATAATAGTACATTTCAGCCATCATGACCTGTATGTTTAGAAGGCTCAGGAATTAATGGGCTACTTTCCATTTCTGCTATTAGGATTCATTAAACAGTTAAATGGTTTAGGTGGATCATTTCAAAAATAGACTTTTCTGTATTCTCCCCATTAGCTTTATTTTTGAAGATATAGTCCCACATATATTTCTTGGGAAATACACACACACACACACACACACACACACACACACAACCCTTTAGATGACAGACAATATAACTGAAACTTTTATTTTACCAAGAACATGAGGAAAGAAAGACATGCTATTTTAACACAAATATAAATAGATTCAATAAATCAAACTTGGCAGAGTATCAAAAGAGAAAATCAATTCTGATAATCCTAACTGTAGAGAATTCCCTAGAACTTCAATATGGTCCTGAATTTGGGAAAGTATTTCTCCTAAAGGACTAGTCCCAGCTAAAAGAATTGAGTTGTGCCTTGGTAACTGTTCCCATCAAAGCATGAGGCAGCCTCTGTTTAATAGCCAGTCTGAATGTCACTGAGGCCCAAGCTTGCCTTGTAAACCAGAGAAAGGAAGCAGAGATGTTGTGTGCTCTGAGGTCAGTGGTATCAGTAAGCACCCTGGCAGGCACACGCAAAGGGATAATTGAAAAGGGTTTAATCAAAGGCCCGTTTACAGTTAAGGTCAGGGATAGGGGAACCAACATGGGATGGAGAAAGACTAAGGGGCTAGCAATGGGGGAAGTCATTACTGCCTCTAGTACCGAATGGGCAATACCTGGAACAGCGTGAGCAGTGTAGCCTTGGAAAAGGGTGCACCTGGCAGGAGCTGTAGCCAAAAATGGAGAAAGGCAGCTACTGCTAAACCAGCAGGGCAGCCTAGCTGGCAAAGATAAGAACAAACGTTTCCAAAGCCCATCGTGCCTGGGAAATGTTTCTGATTTCGTAGTAAAACAAAAAACCCTGGATTCCGTGTGACATACTCATTAGGTGTTCTTGGAAATGTTATTTAAATGTTCTGAGGTAGGCTTCTTAGCTTAAAATGGGAATAATAATGTCAAGGATGTCATCAGGGTCAAAGAAAATAGTATATCTGAGAGTTATTCAAAAACTACAAGACAGTGAAATTCCACTCATTTTATCATCATTATTATTATAATCATTGTTAGTATTATAACCTTCAGAGACGCCCATTGATTTTAAAACATTATTTCAACAAGCCATCTTATGACAAATATATGATTTTTCTATGTGCCAGAATATTTCAAAGCTTCACCACTGCTGTCTACCAATATATAAATAGCAGGGCTACAGAGAACTATTAGTACAGTGAAGTTTTCAGAGAGTAAATAGGATACTGTAAGCTTAAAGGAAATGGAGAAAACACAAGTGGCAAGCCTTCTTAGATTTGGTATTCAGGAAAATCTGAAATTTGGAATGTGAGAAGTTGGAGACATGGTCATTCAGACAGTCATTAAACCTAAGGTATCAATATGGCAAACCTATTTCCACCTCATGCACCTACCTCATGTGCCCATGGCACACTGCAGAGCGCAGAGATAATATCAGAACCCAGATCACATTGGAGCTGAGAGAAAACATTAGAATCTTCCTTAATATAGCATTCCAGGCAGATACTGGTAATTAACTGGAGGCAGGAGAGGCGGCACATGAGATGAATCATACTGATTATAACTGGACGCTCAACAGATAGGCAGTATATTGAAATTGACTGAACACTTGGATATTTGTTTGGGCCTCACAGTTTTTAAAGGATTCTGATAAAACAGAAAGTCCAGAAAAGAGCAATCAGTATAGTTGAAAGACCTGGTTATGTTTTCCAGAAAAATGAGAAGACTTGGGTAAGGATAAGAGTAAACTCTTCCAAGTATCTGCAGGGCTATATGCTAAAGAGGGGGTAGATAAGTCCATTGCGAAGTAACTAGAGTTTATGGGTAGAAGTGTCTAAGAGACCTTTATCAGATGTTTAGCATTTAGAGCTAACCAATAATAAAAATGTAGCCTTCCAACATACTAAATTCAGTTGAATCTGGGTGAACCTCTATCAGGGGTGTTTTCAAATAAAATAATTCCTGATTTAGGAGAGTGGGTAAGCTAGATGACTATTAATATCCATTCCACGTGTATATTTCCACAGCCCTAGGTCTTTTTGAGTGCTCAGAGGTGCTTACCAGTTCTCAGAGGGCAGCTGTAAAGGAAAGCTGTATTGGTTCACTTGGGAATCTTCAGATGGGTATAGAATTGGCAAAGTCCCACATAATCCATTTGCCAGCTTTATTTTACAATGTGTTAGCCAGACCTCCCCTAGCCAATATTTTTTGCCCCAGAAGGGAAAGCCCACAATACAGTAAATTACTGATGATGCTGCCAAAAAGGAATTTCACTCTCAGATCAAATTTGGATTAAATGTAGTAAATCCAGGGCATTAGTTTTTAATAATCAAAAAGTTCTGTCAATATGCTTTAAAAGAATAAAATTCCTTCTTTTAAAGGTCCTTTTGATGTAACACTTGAAAGCTGAGATGCAATCAATCATTAACAATGTTTAATATTCTCTACCTTCTAGAAATACAATACAGTCAAGGTGCTGAGGTGTAAAAACTGGCCAAAGCTCAATGCTCATATAAGATGAAACCACTTTTGAAGTATCATTTTCTTACCCACATTCAATTTAGTCATTTCTTCAGTATATCACCTTTATCCATCACTACTTATTTGAACTTAAAGATTTTACCTGATACTTGGGTCTCTAGGTACATGTAGGGGAAAGGAAACATGGTGTAATATCCACAAGAAAAGCAAAGATTAGATTTCTCAATTTAACCTGGCAGCAAAATAGGACTTAGATATCTTGGAATGGAATAGCTAGACATTTATTTAAATTCAAGCAAATGAATCTCAGCAATGCTGCCACTTTTGGGTGGCCAACCTGAAGACAGGAATTCTGTCTTATTTTTCTCTATTTCCTTAACTCTCAGCCCAGTGCTCAAAACATAATGGCAGTCAATATGTATATAGTGAATTGAATAAAATGCAAACTACAAAGTCCTCCCTTCTCAGAGTATTCAATATATGGAATTATCCTTATTTTGTTGTGGTTGTTTTCTAATATGTCTGTCTCCCACACTAGCCTGTGAGCATTGATAGCCCCAAAGAATGATCACTTATGTCACTGTTCCCAGTGTCTAAGTCAGAGCCTGGTGGGCATTCATATGTTCGTTGAATAAATGCTTTCCTCAATGAGTTTATACTCACACACTCAAACAGGCTTTACAGATGAACAGCACTGGTTAGTAGGAAAAACAATGGCTTTCAGAGTGGCTGGAGCCAGCCTAAAGAGTCTTAAATCAACTATTTACTAACCATTTACCCTACAGAAAGATACTTATCCTTTCTGATCTTCAACATCCTCCTCTGTAAAATAGGGAGAATAGCGGTTTAAATATGTGATGTTTATTATTTATAAAACACTTTCATGCATATATTAATTATCATTAGTGTTCATTTTCCCAGTTATATACAGATGTACCATAGGGAAAACAATCATATGACAATTAAGAGGCTTTGGAGTCAGGTTTCCTGGTTTGAAACCCAGACTCAAATTTAGTAGATATATCACTTTAGGAAACTTTATCATCACCTCTGTGCCTCAAGTTTCTCTTCTATAAAATAGAGATACCAATAATACCCACTTCATAGATTGTTCGGGAGTAAAATTTTGTTTTGCATGTGAAGTGCAAAGAACAATATCTGTGTACATAGTACACAGAAAATGCAGTGATTTTTTTTGCATCTTTCTCTTCCTTTATATTGCACATAGAAGTCCTCGAGTATTATCTAGCCCAACATGTAGCAGTTCAAAGCAGAAATCTCCTTCTTATTCTATTCTGACTACATTTTAAAATTATATGATATTGATTCATCTCATCTTCTTTATTAACTTGCTGAGGTCCACAACTAAATTTCCAATTCCTCTTTTACTACAACACTTTTCAGAATCCCAATCCCTCAGTCTCAATGCTGGCCCTGAAACCTAACCCCACTATGGTGAGTTCTATCTCAGTTCATGTTTCCTCCACTTTTCCAGTCACTGATTAAATATTTCAAAATCATTTCCACCTCTTTTTTTTCCTCCCTAACCAATTTTTATCTCAGAATCTTAGTCTTTCTCCATTGTGTTTTCCAAATTCCTTCTTTCTGCTCTATTCTGCTAGTGGCACCCCAGCTCAGATTCATATCATAAACCTAGGCTATTGCATCAGCTTCCTAACTGATCTTTCAGCTTGTAATCCCTCCGTCTCATCTTTCACACCATGGCAAGGCCAATCTTTCCAAAGCACCACTCAGATGTTATGGCTCCCTCCTCAATACAGTAGTGCTCCAGGTTGTTGCCAATGTAAGGGTGAAACTCTTCCTGTTGACATCCATAGCTCCCCTCATCTGTACCCCTTTATCTCTCTAGGACTAAACTTCCAATAAAGGATGTGGGAAAAGTACTAATATTTATTTTATAGACTATTTAAGTGAGGAACTATGCTACACACTTTTGCAATTAAAATGTCATCTCATGCTTCCCACTCCATACTGATTCTCATATATTCATTTGCCCAGCACATGGCTTCCTATAAATGTGAGAACTGCTGCAAGCCACTTTACTTTCAGCAAACTCTACCAGACTTCACTCCTCATTACCCTTTGTGTATCTCCTCTCTACTGGCTGTCACTTTTACCTGTCATATCACCTTCGGATCCTGCCTCCATTTCCTTACTGTGACCCATTGGATCAGCAACAGAGTTTCACATTACTCAAAGGGGCTATGATCTGACATTCCCTTAAGGTAGTCCTTTCATGAACTGTTTCTGGACTCCAAACATAAAAATTACTGGCAACAGGTGCCTCTTTGAATCTTCTGGAACATTGCTAAAGCCAGATGCACATTCAGATTTCTACAAAAGCAATATGAAGTGGGCATTATTACCCCATTTCTCCCAATAAGAAAACCAAGCCTTAAGACAATTAAGTAGCTTGTTCAAGGACACACAGCTAGTGAGTGTCAGATCTAGAACTGGAACCCAGGTGCCTCGAGATAAAATCCTGTGTTATTTTCTAAGTACATGTTTCTTGCGCATATAATAAAATAGGTTACTTTCTTCTATGTACTTACATACTTCAGTACTAACAAACAAACAAAATATCTATTAGGTATGGTGGTAGAAATTATTTTCTGTACCACTCTCCATTCCTAAGTCTTTTGGAATGATACAAACTCTCTGACATCTCAGAATACAGCAGAAATTGCCTTCCTGCACTTTGAAGGCAGCAGGACATAGAGAAAGTGAAAAGACTTATGAACCAGACTAGACAAATCACAATGGACTGACTTGATGGCCTTGAGCAAGTTATTAACTCCCTGGAGGCATTTTCTTATGTAGAAAATGAGAATAATATGTCTTATTTCACTGAGTGGTAAGGAATGAAAACCATATTTTAAACACCTGGGCAAATTGACAAATGTTAACTCACCGTCTCTTCCATTCCATAAATGACTATCTCCTTTTGCTGCCAATAATGAATATATTTTTAAGAAGGAACTTACTCTACCCATATAATTCTAAATCTTCCAATTATAGTCTTCCAAAGAAGACTGAATTCTTCTTTGTTTGTGGGTTAATGTCTTTATATAAAATGACATCTATTGGGAAGAAATGTGATCAAATCAAAGACCAATCTAATTCCTTTTTGTAGATTCATTAAATTATTTAGAGAAGGGAAGAACCCACTAGCTGCCAAAACCTTGAATGGAAGCATAATTTCAAACACTAAACTGTCTTACCACATAAAGAGCAATACAATTCTAACCTCAGAGTTATTCAACCTCAGATGGAGAGAAATTAAACAGAAACGAGTTATATAAGTGAGGAGCCCCATACCAGTTTACAATATTTTCCAGGAATTTATTTATAACAGTCATGGAAAAAATATTGAGCTTCTATTTTGACCTTAATAGTGTATGTGGCAGAGCACCTTACAAAGTTTTCTGATTGGTTTTTACTGTTATTTTATTGTAAAATCTGTGTTTTATCAAATTTTCATGATCAACAAGATTCAGAAGGGCCCTTAGTCATAATCTCAGGCAATATCCCACTCATGTAGGCATCTCATCCTCAGAATCCAAGGGCTGAATAACTACCTCCTACTGGAGAGAAGAGAAAGAGAGGGAAGAGAGAATAAAAAATGACAATAAGTGCTTAGGAAACATCCTACCACACAGGGTTATTAATAATAGTAAATGAGGTTACAGTACTCTTTATTCATCTAGATGTTAATTTCTTTGGGAAAGCCGACATTGAATTTAGTTCTAACAACACTTTTCTAAATTATACTCCTTTGTAAGTTCTTTCTTTCTCTGCCTTTCTGCTAGGATTCCAGGTCTGCACCTGCTTCTCCTCTGATTCTTCTTTACCAGCTATCCATATTTACTCCATCCTGATGAGCTTCAGCTACCACTCTCGAAGTGTGATTCTTAAATCTCTATCTGCAGTTCAGAACTCTTCTGAATACCAGAAACCATAGGTCCAATTGATTGTTGACCATTGCCATCTGGCATTAAACAGGACTTCAAGCATAAATCCAAAACTGAACTCATCAGATTTATCCCAAAGCTCTTTTTCCCCTTGACAATTAGTCAAATAAAAATATAAACCACAAGTGTCTACTTATAGTTTTTATTTTAACATACCCAAGTTCTGGAGTGAAACTGAAAAATTCAATGCATCATTAAAGGAAATAAGAATTCTCAAAAAGCATCTGTCACTACCAAACACCTAGAGTCTGATTAATTTACAACAATCATTTTCCTTTTTAAAAAAGAAAGTTTTCTGAAGTATAATTTATGTGTAAATGACTTTCTTTTCCAAGACATAAGGGAAGAACAGGGAACATATTTACTATCCTCTATTAAAAAATTTTAATTCCAGAAAAATATATTAAAAAGTGAGTTTTAGGCATTGAACAACAAGCAGCAAAAGACTAAGAGAAGGAAATCAAACAAGGTGGGTTCTATGATTGCCCAACTTACAGCCTAGAATTGCAAAGCATGTAGGGAAAACTCAAGTAGATCATGTCTACTTGATCAAGTAGATCATATCTGGGGACGTAAAAGGTGACTAATCTTCATAGATACAGTACCAGAGTGGAGGGAGGTACACACACACACACACACACACACACACACACACACACACAGGTAGAGAGAGTGACCATGAGCATGCTTCAGAGATCTCCAGAGAGGTCCTCCAGATGTTTGACTAAGTACTAATTTATGCATACATGAAAGGAAACAACCCAAATCTAGAAAGAACCATTGGAAATTAGTAAACCAAAAAATTTCCAGAGCTTTCAGAGGGCTGAAGTGGTTTGTGTGACAACCAACCCAAGTGGAAAGACATTGTAATAGAGCATCAGGTCAAATTACCAGAAGACAATCACCATGGTAGTGGGGTTAAACTAGTTCTAGACTTACAGCTACTCTTGACATGCCTTAACAAAGCTTAAAAGCAAACATCAAAAGGATTCAATTGATTCCAAATTACTGCATGCCAGAACAACATCCAATACTATGTAAAGGAATACTACAAAACTCAGCACCCAACAATGTAAAATCACAATGTCTGGCTATGATGGTTAATATTGAGTGTCAATTTGATTGCACTGAAGGATGCAAATTATGGTCCTTGGTTGGGTCTGTGAGGGTGTTGCTACAGGAGATTAACATTTGAGTCAGTGGACTAAGAAAGACAGACCTACCCTTGTTTTGGGTGGGCAACATCTAATCAGCTGCCAGCACAGCTGGAATAAAACAGGCAGAAGAAAGTGGAATAAACAGACTTGCTAAGTCTTCCAGTCTTCATCTTTCTGCTGTGCTGCCCTTGAACGTCAGACTCCAAGTACTTCAGCTTTTGGACTCTTGGACTTACACCAGTGGTTTGCCAGGGCTCTTGGGCCTTTGGCCACAGAGTAAAGGCTGCACTGTCGGCTTCCCTAATTTTGAGGTTTTGGGACTTGGACTGGCTTCTCTGCTCCTCGGCTTGCAGATGGCCTATTGTGGGACTTCATCATGTGATTGTGTGAGTCAATTCTCCACAATAAACTCCCCTTTATATATACCTCTATCCTATTAGTTCTGTCCCTCTAGAGAATGCTGACTAATACACTGACATTCAATACAAAATTAACAGGATATTATAGACCATAATCTGGAAAAAATTAATAGAAACAGACCTTAAATGACAAAAATAATAAAACTATCAGACCAAAAATATGTTGAAATGTTTCATCTTTTCAAGAAGAAAGTGAAAACATAAACAGAATAAGAAGAAAAAATGCAAGATATAAAAATAAGGCGCAAGTGGAATTTCTAGAAAAAAAATACAATGAAACTAAAATAGAAAATAAACAGATTGACTCCTGAAAAAGAAAAATTAACTTGAAGATATAACGGTAGAAATTGCCCAAAATGAAATACATAAAAGCAAAAGAAGCATAAACAGAGCATTAGGACAGAACAAAGAAAATGTTATTCAAAAAAAGTTATTGCTTTAAAAATTTATACCAACAAAGCAGTATAAAATTTATATGTAGAATATCTTCACTATAAGTTAAAGAAAATTCTTTTGGAAAAAGGAAAATGTGGCCAGGTAGATATTCAGATCTACAAAAGGAATGACCCTTAGAAATCTTAAATGTAGACTTTTTCTCCTTAAATCAATTTGTAAAACAAAAATAATATTAAGTTGTAAAATTTGGAATATAGGTAGAAGTAAAATGCATGACAATACCAGAATGAAGTATAAGAAGGGGAAATTGAAGTATACTATTGTAAGATTCTTATACAGTACACAAAGTCACATAATATAATTTGAAGGCGGTTGTAGGTTAAAATAGAAAATCGTAAATCCTAAAGCAACCACTAAACAATGTACCGCAAAAAAAATACAACTATTGAGCCAATAGTGGTGAATAGTAAAATACTAAAAAATAATCCAAGAGGAGGCAGCAAAGAAGATAAAAGGAAATAAGAAATAGAAACAAATAGAAAATAAATAGCAAAATGACCATTTATGCCCACTGTATCAATAATTACATTAAATTTAAATGGCCTAAATACTGTAATTAAAAGGGGGATCATTTTCAAACTAGATTCAAAAAGCAAGACCTGACTCTATGCTTGCCTATAAGAAAGACACTTTCAGTATAAATACATGTATGGTACACATATAAAATAACATCAGAATGACTGAGAGTGTTTCTGCAGGCACCCCAAAAGGGAAGTCAGAGACTCTACTGGGCAGAAAGTGAGAGATCATCAGTGTAGCTTTAACAACAGTGTGATGGTTAATACTGTCAACTTGATTGGATTGAGGGATACAAAGTATTAATCCTGGGTTTGTCTGTGTGGGTGTTGCCAAAAGAGATTAACATTTGAATCAGTGGGCTGGGGAAGGTAGATCCACCCTTAATCTGGTGGGCACAATCTAATCAGCTTCGAGAGAATGTAAAGCAGGCAGAAAAAAGTGAAAAAGAGAGACAGGCCTAGCCTCCCAGCTTACATCTCTGTCCCGTGCTAGATGCTTCCTGCCCTCGAACATCAGACTCCAAGTTCTTCTGTTTTGGGACTCGGACTGGCTTTCCTTGCTCCTCAGCTTGCAGACAGACTATTGTGGAACCTTGTGATGGTGTAAGTTAATACTTAATATTAACTCCCCTTTACACATATATATAGCCTATTAGTTCTGTCCCTCTAACAGAATCCTGACTAATACAAACAGGGACTAGACCTTGTTTCATTACCCCTCTTATAAAACCTTGCATGGATTTTGGCTGGCTACCTTTTTGAATGTGACTCTCTAAAAGATTGGGTTTGTATCTCCCTTCTCTCAGAGATGAAGTAAGGGCATCATTTTTGCCTCCATATTGCACTATAGCAGCTGGATATCATGGAAGGCATTAGAGGATCTTGGGTACAAGGGGTGGACTGTAACAGCCATCTCTTACACACCACTTCACATCCCCTGTGCTTCATCTCTCTCTTATTCCAGTAAGCACAGTTCTATGTACTCTCAGACTGACTTATTGCTGATCCAATCCAACACAGCCTCACCTCAGACCTGCACCATGTGCCTCTCCTTCCCTGGAGCCTCTCGCTTAATTCTGAGGCATGGAAAGTGCTGGGACTGCACTCAGTGCCCACGCATGCAAACCCAGAAGTTAGGCAAAGTGAACACTTCATGGGATGAAACTTTGACAAATGGTAGATGCAAGAAAATGGAGAAATTCGTCTCCTTTGCTCTCCTAATCACAGGTAATCCAGGGATGTATTACATTTGCTTCTCAGTCAGTCCTGTGGGAATAAGACAAGCGGTCACCTCTAGCTGTGACCCCCTCAGCGACATGTCTTTTGATTGTCTTTCTCTGCGTTGCCCCCCAGTGTGCAAAAGCTATTAAATGGGATTGTAGTCCCTACTCAATTACTGGTATATAAACCACTACCTCAATGTCTGAATTCTGAGGAAACCAGGCTAATCAAAGGGGTGACAAAATTACTGTTATTTTGAGATGATGAGTGTCTATCTGGAAAACCAAATAGTCACAGCAGCAACAACAGGAACGACAACAATGATGAAGACAACAACAACAAAGATCCAATAAGAAGACTCAGTACATTGGCTTATGATAAAAATTACTACATACAAATGAATAGCTGTTCTACATTCCAGTAATAATTTACTTTAAAAATTAATAGGAAATGTACTAAACCTAAGGATGACAGAATGACTATACTCTGGGCCATAAAATAGATGAATTACTGGGAGGAAATACCATGTTCCAAGATGGAAAGACTTAGTATTGTAGGTATGTGAATTCTCCACACATTAATCTGTAAATTTAATGAAATCCCAATTAAAATTCTAATTCTTTAACCCAACAACTTAATTCCAAAAGATATCTGAGAGAATAAACTCATGAAAATAGCCAGGGACATTCTGAAAAAGTGTAATAAGAGATGACTAACTCTAATAGATAGGCAACTTTGCTATACAGCTATAATTTTAAAATTGTGCTTTGCAGATATAGACAGTCAAGGAAACTGAGCTGAGTAGAGACAGATGTGATATATGCTAGAAGTGGCATAACAGATCAGTGGGGAATTGATGGAGAGTTTTTTATAATAATAGCACAACTGGCAAGTCACTTGGGGAAAAAATATATTCCCCCTCATACTTCACAAAATAATAAGTTCCAGGTGGAATAACAGCATCTTAGTTTGGTGTGTGTTCTTCCATAACTGTATTTTGGCACTTACTTTTTTTTTTTTACATTATAGATTTCTTGCATACAATGTATTCTTCAACTTACTTTCTTCACTTACTGTTAGTTACCTCTTGGATGTGGGGAACAGACTGAATTTGAGAGTGATAAGAAAAGGGGAGATCATCATAAATTAATTAGTTAATTCAATTAAACAATGATTGAGTGCCTACAAAGTGCCAGGCCATATTCTTGTTGCTGGGGATACAGCAGTGAATAACAACAAGAATTCTGCCCTCATGGATCATACATTCTCGTGGGGAGGACATAAACCATCAATAAAATATTTAAGTAAAATGTACCCTATATTAAATGGTGACAAACGCTTCAGAGGAAAATAAAGCGCATGCATGCGTGCACACACACGTACAAGACAAGGAGAGCAGGCCTCACTAAGATGACATTTGTGTGAAGATGTAGAAGAGGTGAGGGAGAGCCATCCCATCTGGTTATGGGAGCATTTTCTCTGACAGAAGAAACAGTGAGTGCAAGAGAGAGTGAGCCTGGCATAAAAGATAAGACATAGTTCGCAGAGCCTTATAGGCCACTTGAGAACTTCAGTGATTCCACCGAGTGAGCGAGTAAGCTGGTGGAATATTCAAGCCACAGAGAGGCATGATCCGACTTAGTTATTTTTGTTTTAAACAGGATCGCTGTGGTTACTATGTAGAGAATCACACAAAGATGAGTCAGATAAGAGTGTGCCATAATACTGGAGAGAGAGACGGCAGTGGGTGAGATCAGGTTGGTAACAGTGCAGCTAGTTTCTGGATATATTTTGACAGTATTGCTGAGAGGACTTGTTGATCGGTTAGGAGAAGCATGTTAGAGAAAGAGAGGCAGAAGGACTCTAAGGCTGTTATTATGAGCAATAAGAAGGTAGATTTGGTAATCACTGACATGGAAGGATCACTGGGAGGAGGAGGTTTTAAAGGGGGTATCAGGGACTAGTTGTGGATCCGTTAAATTTGAAATGCTTATTATTAATTGATATCCAAGAAGAGATATTGAATAGTGGATGGATATGTAACTCTGGAATTCACAGGACAGGTCAGAAATAGATGTATAAATTTGGGCATCATCAGATCACATTCTACGCCATGAGACTAAATGAGATAATCAAGGAAACAAGGGCATGTTTCAGTAATTCTTATCATAAACATTTAAATTTTACAATAAAATTATATTTGTGTTTTATATATATAATTAAAAATACTTGTAAAGCACTGGAAGAAAATATAAGCAAAAATTTATATAATCATCTATAGAGGAAATTTATATAATCATTCTAGGCTTGACACCAAAAATGCAATCATAAAATAAATCACTAATCCTTATGACTACAAAATATTTTTTAACATTCTATGTATCACATATGGTATGTATAAAAACAAGAAGTCAACACATTACAGGAAAAAATAGTGCCAATGTTCAGACATACAAATTACTGAACTTAATATGTAAAGATTTCTTGCAAATCAGTAAGAATAAGATCAGTACCCAAAAGGAAAAAAAAAAGTACAAATTTGAACACAAAGTTTATATCAGAAGAAATAGAAACCATCCCCAAGTATATAGGAATGTACAAACTAAAATAATAACATTTTCACCTAAATTGGCAAAAATATCTTTATGCTGTACCACCTAGTTTGGGCAGGGGTACTAAGAAATGAATGTTATTTATATTTTTACTGTAAATTGATATTAAGTTTTCAAAGATTAACATGACAAAGTAGCAGAGCATTAAACTCCCTATATTTTTTAACAAGAAATTCTTTTATAACTCATTTGAAAGAAATATGTTTGTTTCTGGATGATTAATTTAAAGGAAATGAATTACAATATTTTAAATTAGTAGTTATTAGCCAGGAGCTGTGGCTCATGCCTGTAATCCCAGCACCTTGGGAGGCTGAGGTGGATGGATCACCTGTGCTCAGGAATTCGAGACCAGCCTGGGCAATGTGGCAAAACCCCATCTCTACTGAAAATACAAAAATCAGCAGAATGTGGTCGCACATGCCTGTAGTCCCAGCTACTAGGGAGGCTGAGGCAGGAGAATCTCTTGAACCCGTGAGATGGAGGTTGCAGTGAGTTGAGATTGCGCCACTGCACTCCAGCCTGGGAGACCGAGTGAGACCCTGTCTCAAAATAAAATAAAATAAAAATATAAATAAGTAAATAAAAATAGTAGTTATTAACTTAAAGGGGGGAAGACTAAATAATGTTAGAGAATTGACAAAGGACATTTTGCTGCATTCCTAGGATATTCTATCATAGGCATGAAAATCATGTTGTAGAATGATATTTACTGATACAAATATTTGTGTGAGTACATGTTTTACTTGCTGAGTTAACTAAGTTGATAATGAAGCAAAGGGTAGAGTAGCCTTTCACTTGAAAACTTATATACTTATAATCTGCACAGAAAAATGCAAAAAATATTTGACAATATTAACAGTTTTTATTTTAGGGTAGTGGGATCACAAGTATTTATTTTTCTCTTTTCTGCTTAACTGTATTTTCTTAGACTTTTACAAAAAAGTTTTTTTTTAAGTTTGTATGGTTGAGAAATGAAACCAGTATATCAAGAAATACAAGAAGAAGGTCCAACAGTCCTGGTTTCCATCCAACATTATATAATCCTGGGGTGTTTCAAAACCACCCAGTTATGTGCTGACAGATTGTCCAGATGTCTGGGATTAGAATTACAGAACATCTTTGTCCCAGCAAATTAGGTGGCTGGGCACACAAACAACCTGCCCTTTATTTTATTTATCTGCCCTTTGACAAGACAATTTTCCCTGTCATCATCATTTTGCTTTTCTGTTATGAATTCAAGGCACTTTACTAGGTACTTTTTTTTTTTTACATTCTTTATTGCATCCATGTAAATAACCTCCAACTGGGGTATTAATATTTAATTTTACATAGGAGGAAACTGAGGCCCAGAGACTTTGAATAACTTGCCCAGTGTAATTAGCAAGTAAGGAGTGGAGCTGAATTTTATATCCTGGTTTCTCTAGCTTCCAAACTTTGGTTTTTCCACTATAATTTTTCTTCTAAAGAATGAGTGGAATAAAAATTGACTTAAATGGTTGAGGGACATCAATTAAATGACAAAAAATCTCATCATGTAACATTTTGTTCCTTTTCAATTATATTTCAAACCTCTTTACATCAAGGAAAAATCCTCAATTTCATAAGAGCATATCTATAAAACCTATTTAATATTTGCTAATCCTCCTTTTTCAATAGTAAGCAAGCAAATCTAATACCAAGTCTACTTAGAATGTAATAATATTGCTTTGCCTTATTGCATTTAGCTTTACCTTCTCTTTAGTGCAAGAGATAGTGATTTTTTTCCATTTACAGTTGTCATGCAGATTTAAATTTAAATTTTCATACATAGATTTTTAAAAATATTCAATCATCAACAGTACAAGTAGCACACCAGTATTGCAAAACATTGCACAGGTTGATTGCAAATACCAAGAGCTTGGGAAATAACTGAACTACTTCATGCTGCCTATTCCCATCATTTTAGGAGTTTGAAAAAGGAGAGAGAGAGGGACACTCTTAACTTTCGTTAAACCTTTATTGTGTCTTGGTAATTTCCCTGTGCAGTCTCCCTGAATTCTCACAGTTGTTCTGTGAGCATTCATACACCCAGTTTACAAATTTGGTAATTGAGGTACTGCATAATGATGTAGCCTAAGGGCACCCAACTAGTAAATGGTGAACTTGGGATTTGAACTCAAAGTCCTGCATCTCCAAAGACTCAGCTAGTTTTAGACCATGCCATCCGAAAGGAGATAGCTAACTGGTTTGCTTTTTTGCAATTCTATACAAGTGTTAAGTTACTAGCATGTGGTAAAACCAAGAGAAGTTCAATGAAGGGGAAATTCCTGTGGGCCAGAGTTGAAAAGCATATGTGGCTGATACGGGCTTTGCAGAACATGTTAGGCCCTGGAAGCAGGTGCAAGTGCATTTCAGATGGAGCAGTTGGGATGGTCTTCATACCACTAAGGCCAGTTTCTGAAACCCAGCACCTCATAGCCCCACTGCTTTATCTCTGACTCCTCCTTTTTTTTTCTGTAAATACCCAGGAAGGAGCAACATTTTAAGCTTCTATCAACAATTCACACCTTACTATGAATTAATTTTTAACACTTTGCTGAAAGCAAGTTGGAATAATGGAAAGCATTCCAAGATCCAAGAGGTTACCAAAGCACAAACATCACCAAATAGACAGTGTGGATGCAACAAAGTTGATTCTCAAATTTATCCCCATTTTTATAATTGCCAACTCTATTCCTTCATAGCTATGTAAAGGGCTTTTCACCATAGTAGCCCAAATATCAATGGTACTCTCCAAAAAAGATTGAGGTGGTTGTCTGACTCATATCTCCCCTACTACATTTCTCCCTGAGATAATATTAGAAAAGAGTCTAGAGACGTATTAGGACCTTATGAAACACATGGCTAAGACTTCTGACCACGTTTTCCAGCTTGTGTGCATATAAAATTCTGGTCAGGGAAACAACCACCATCATGGGCCTCCTCTGGCCACAGCTTCATGTTTATTATTAGGAGATTGCTTACAGCCCCTAGGGAGGTCACAGTGTTGACATGCTTCCCATCCTTTCTCCTCTTTAGCTGGTCAGATAAGGCATTTAAACCTGACACCTCAGATCCTTTCAACGCCAAAACCAGATGTGCTCAGCTGGAAAGAGGAAAGGGTTCCTCTGTGTTCAACAAAATCCAAGCTCTCTGCAGTGAAGAGGGCCAAACTGACAAGCAGGCCAAGGGTTAGTCTTTTCTGTCCCCTCCCTGGTCTCTGCTTCCTTACTCTTCTCATATTGGCCACAGCCTTCCACCTAGAAGGAGGACCATGTTTTACCACATCTGCAAGACTTAGTTGTGCATAACACCAATGTAATATTTTATATTAGAGATATTTATTCAATATGCTTCCTCCTCTATGCCACTGTGGCCTCTAACTGCATCCAAACTCTCATCACCACTGCCTTAGATTATGAAATAATTTCCTAACTGATCTCTCCACCTCAAAGATAATGCTCTGCATTCTAAAATGATTATCAAAATAATGGCTGTCATGAAGATAGTGCCTAGCACCGCTTGAAGGCTGCTGCCAATGTGCTTCCTGTGAGCTCTTCCCATGCATAGTTTCTGCAGCCTTCTCCATCCCCACTTCCACAACATGCCCTTCACTGTAGCTGCCATGAGCTGCTTCCAGTTCCCCCAGATGCCTTACAGTCTACCTCTGTGAGCTCCAGCAGGTCACTGTCTCCACTGGTTGTAAAATGAGGAGACTATAACATCTAATGTTTATTAGTCCTGTGGGTTTAAGATTGCTGAAAGCGTTCTTTCCTTCTCTTCCTTTGAGAGCTCTGTGTGTTCCGTAGATGACAAGGGGGAAACTGAGTCAGATATTTTTCCTGTCAACTACTTTAGCCAGCTCCTGGCACATCATTTCTCTAATATGACTTGGATTCTTACCATTCACTGTGATGTCTCCAGCCCCGGACACACTTAGTTTAAAATGTATGAAGCACCACTGGGGTCCACATGGTTTTATATCTGTTCCAGTGGCCTCATGCAGCTGAGTTCTTCATCCTTTGTGTTCTTCAAGGGGAATGGAATGCTTTATGCTCTTTTCATATCTACTCACAGCATCTAC
Organism: Homo sapiens; assembly: GCF_000001405.40. NCBI lineage: Eukaryota > Metazoa > Chordata > Mammalia > Primates > Hominidae > Homo > Homo sapiens. The sequence continues at coordinate 55,960,480 of NC_000001.11, forward strand.
CACAGAGGTAGGGAGAGGCAGGAGGGAAGTAACATTTATAACAACACCATTAGGAGAATGGACTCTGTAGCTTGAGAACGTCAGTTCTAATCCTAGCCCTGCCATTTACTAGCTATGTGACCTTGGAAAAGTTAAGCTCTCGGGCTTCAATTTTCTTATCTGTATAATAGGAAAAAATGAGCTCTTCCTTAGGTTACTATGAAGATTATATTAGTTAATACAAGTAAAGTACTTAAAGCAGTGCCCAAAACATAGTTAAGTGTTATAGACATGTTTGCTGTTACTACTTATTAAGAACTTATTCCATTCCAGGAATTATGCTAGAAACATTAGATAAAAATACAAATAATAATAGATACTAGTTATTAAGCACTTGTTAAATACTTTCATTCTTTATTGATGATTCTCAATTCCTGACAGCAGTGTGTCTCGTTTTATAGAAGACAAAACTGAGGCTGTGAGTGTTTTGGTACCTTGTTCAAATATGAGAATTAGTATATTTTTAAGGCCAAAAATGAGACCCAGGTCCCTCTGAGTCAAAAGCTCATATTGTTTCTATCACAGCATGACTAGCCCTCGTCCGTTTGTTTTCAGGCTTTGTTTTTTCTGCTGAGACAGGCATAGAGGCTGGAGCTCACAGTCTGACATTCTCCCCTGTGCTGTGGAGCCAGGCAGATAATATTATGTGTGGGTTATGCCCAGTTTCCCATCCTCCCACCTCATATTCTGGAGAAGTAATGACATCTCTTTTCCTCCTGCTCAAGAAGGCATTCTGTAGGGTAAGTGAGAGAGGTATTTGTATAGGGATAACCATGACACATTTTATTTAATGAAAGCCTCCCACCTGTCTCCCTGTTCAAGGATCACCTTCTTCAGAAAACCTTAAAAACAGTGATTTGCCTCAGGTGCACTCCACAGTTTGCTGCTCAGAGGTGTCCCTCACTGCTCCCCACCACTGCCAGCCACTGCTCCTGTGGAAGTTGGCTACCCCGAAACTCCTGGTCTATACTCCCCCTTGACAGGGTGCTGTTCCATCTTTCTAGGTAGCAGTGGCTGAGGGTGGACAAGACACTCTTTTTTGTGTAGCCTATTACTTCTCTTCTCCACCATACCATCCCAAAAGGCCTTACTGGAGGTTGAATATAACCAAATTAATTATGATTTCAAAAAATGCTTTATATAATGGTCCATTATAATCCAAGACAAGATTACAATTAAACCCTTTCACAGGAGTGTCTCTATCAGACGCACCCAATTTCTTGCTTAATCCTGCCATCCGCAAGTCTCCACTCCTTCCCCTGATGACCTCCCTTTTATAGATTGTCCTACAATGTGAATCCTTATTCTTCACGGAAACATTGTGGCCTCAAACATTTAATCAGTGTTGACATCTGTTTCCACAGGTTATTTCTGGACACAGTAATCCTTCAGCAATACAATTACCAAGTTATTCAACATGGAAGGCTTTGCCAAGACAGTGGTGGCTGGGATTTGACCCTCTAAGTGTGAGGTTAGTATTGATCTCCAAGCTCCGTCTCCACACATATCTCACCAACCATTCCCCAATACAAGTGAAAATCCTGAGTAAAATACAAACACTTACACCTTCAAATGAATGCACTGATGCTCAGAAACACAACAGCCAAAATCTGTATTAAAGAAGAGAAATACTTTCCTAGTTGCAACAAAATCTACACTGCTATCCTCTACAATAAAGGGTAGCACTGAACCTTGCTAAGCAGAGTAGTGTTGGTTCTTCTATATTTACTCAGTGCTGCTATCAGTTAGGGTAATTTGGTCCAGGTAATTTAAAAAAACCTAAATCCAGTAATCTTAAACAATGAAGTCAGTTTTTATAACCCAAACCTCAAAAAGTACAAGGGACTTCACCAGAGTTTGATATAGTGCTTCAACAATACCACCAAACAACCAGTAAGCCTGTCTCTATCCATCTTTCTCTTCTGCTGTATTAATTTCCCGTCACTACTATAACAAATGACCATAAACTTAGTGGCTTAAAACAACAGAAATGTGTTATCTTACAGTTCTAGAAATCAAAATCCCGAAGTCAATGTCTGGGCAGAGCTGTGCTCCTTCTGGAGCTCTAGAGAGGACACTGCTTCCTGCCTTTTCTAGGTTTTAGAGGCTGCCATCTTCAAAGTGAGCAGCACAGCACCTTCCAATTTCTCTTTCTCTCTGCTGCCTTTGCCACTTCCCCTTTTCTCTCCTTGATATTCTTTCCTCTCTTTTTTATAAAAACTCTTGAAATTACACTGAGCTTATTCCAATAAACCAAGATGATCTATCCATCTCAAGATCCTTGACTTAATCATATCTTCACCGTCCCTTTTGCCATATAAGGTAACATTCACAAGGATTAGGACTTTGGCATCTCTTTGTGTGTGTGGTTGGGGTAGGCATTGTTCTTTCTACGTCTGCTTTCCACTGTGTTAATGTCATCTGGAAACAGTAGTACTTGTATTCATAAAAAGACTGTCAGCAGCTCAAGGGGCTACGTGCTTCTCAGTCCCTTTGGCGTGAAGAACAGAGACTCTTATGGTCTCTCACAGGACACCAAGGAAGCTTCTTGCCCAGGATCATCCTCATTTCTATCATTTTCATGGTCAGAGTTTAGTCTCACACCCTTCCCTGAATCAATTATCATGGCCTCAGGGTTAGACTTTGCAGATCAATGTAAGCCAGGAGCTGAAGCTTAGGGTGGGCTCAGCTCCCATGGATGGAAATGTGGGAGGGGTGGTTCTCTAAAGGAAACTCAGAGTCCTGTGCCATGAAGCAGGAGAGGATAGACACCGGTTGCCAACAGCAGCGACAAAACCCACCGCATGCCAACACTACTATCAGAATATGATCAGTAGGTCCATTAGAAATGGGATACTGCCACAGTTGCCTATCCTTTAATGACCCCTTCTTACTCTTACAAACATCTGGCAGAAGCTTTACTTTTGGGGTCAACTCTGAGTCTTGGATGGCACTGGAAGGCAGGTTCGATGAGGATCTAAATTCCTAATACTTAACTAACACACTAAGGTGGAAGATTAGTGATTTCTCTTCTAGTAACATTACTTTAAAAAATATGCACACTCATTTGTATTTAAACATCAGTAACAAATCCCTGTGGCACACCTCTGAAGGGACTGAATCATACCAGTGCACGGCAACATAGGGGCTGAGATCTGATTTCCCAGACATGAGGTAGGGATCTATGCATTGCTTTGTTCTTCAGCTCTTGCTTTCTTTTCTGTGTTTGCATGGCCTTCTGGAAAGCTGAAATTATTTTCTGTTTTTCTTTGTCTTTCTTACTTAAGTTTTATTCTAGTGCACTTTTGGAAAGCTGGCTTTTGTGTGCACGTGTGCTTTTATATATCCTCCATGGAAACAATTATATGGGTAGGATGGAACTTTACTTGAACAAGTTTCCCTAGCCATAGGCCTCCTAATCTAAGAGTTAGAGACCTTTTACTCCTTATCTTTGTAAGCAAAAAATATGGTTATCTTCATGCTTTTACCTTAGAGTTAATGTTTTGAAGACCTGCTAACTGAAAACAATGTCGCAGATTTATCTTGGAAAATGTTAAAACAGAATTTTCCCCTCACTGTCATCCTATATAGCAAACCTCAGGTAGGTGTGTATGAAACTTTTCCCTTTTGAGTTACATGTCCAAACTTGTGAGTGTTTTTCTTATTTTTACTTTCTAAAATTAGAGAATGCCTGAGTTTGCAAGAGGCGTAAGAGCTATCTAGTCAAGTCTTTGTCAAATGCACAAGCAACATCCTCTAGTGTTAGAGAACTTACCACTCCACAGTCAGTATATTCTATTTTTGGACTGTACGTAACACTTTAATAGTTCTTTGTTTGTAGTGATAAGACTACTTTCTTAGAACTTCTATTCCTTAATCTTATTTCTCACCTTGAAACAACATCATAGAGATCTACTTAATCGAACCATAATCATTTATTTCCAAAGGTGTGAGACACTGTTTCTACTTGACTCATTAGAATAACTTACATCTAGACAGTGACTTCTAGGTATCTAGAGCCATCATGTGCATTAACTCAGCTAATTCTCAAAGTCTTGTGGGGTAAGTATGGTTGTTTCCATCATACAGATGAGTGAACGAGTTCAGATGAGTTCCTGATTCCATTTACATGTGTTTAATGTTAATGCATTGTGCGTGATCTTTGACCTGCATGAAGATTACAATTTAGTCAAAATTTAAAGAAATATATGTCTATATTCTCAGGGAAGTGATAGGTTTAAAAAAAAGAATAATGTTCTTTAAGATAATTTCTATGGTTTGGGGGCTATGGCTACAGACTGATTTAAATTTAAATCAATGAAATTTAATTTGAGAGAGGACTATCCCTGAGCACTCAGGGAAGCCATAGGAAAAAAGAGTTGAAGTCTTACCTGGAGAGATGGTCCAGCAAATAGGAAGACTTAAGGTGCTGAAGAGTTTGGCATGGTGAAGGAGCTTCCGGATGACCAAAGTGCTAGAACCCAATGAGAACATGGGAAAGCTAGACAAGCAGAGACTGGAGAGGCAGGCATGCAGGATATCATAGGGAATTGAAAATAAGTTATTTCCTTAACACTCATGGAAAAGAGTTGTAGAGTTTTAAGCAGAGAAGTGACAATATCTGATTAAAATTTTTAAAAGATCACTCTTGCTACAGTCTAGAGAATGGAATAGAGTGCAAAACTGGCGGAATGACTGGAAGGAGACCAGTGAAGGGGCTATCACAGCAGTTCAGGAAAGAGATCATGGTGGATTGAATTAGAGTGGCTATGGAAATGGTGAAATGTTGATTGTCCCAGTATTTCAGATGAGCACCAGTGAAACATATTTGAAAATAAGGCCTTACGTTATCAAAAATTATTGTGATTGGAGGATATAACATGAGATTTGGAGTCAATGACCAGAACTACCACTTACTAGCTATATCATCTGGGATAAGATACATTATCACCTGGGCCTCAGTTTTGTCATCTATAGAGGAGATATGACCATTATGTCGTTGCTCATAGCATTTTGCCATGTCTTAAAAATGGGGGTCAAAATAACCATCATGTCTTCTTCACACACTTGTTTTGTGAATCCATAAAATTTCAGATGTAATATTGGTACTATGTGGACCATTTCCATTGATCGGATACACAGTCCCATATAAGTAGTTAGATAAGGCTTGGGGATTTTGCTGAAAGATCTAAAGTTTTAGATTCAAGCAGGGTTTAAATCCTGAATTTACCATCTTTTAGCTTTGTTTCTTCAGACAAGTTATCTAAGTTCTCTAGACTCATTTCCATCACATGTATGAAAATACTTGAATTATGGAGTTTTAAAAAGACCGTCAATATTTTAACTTAACCTAAGACCTGGTTTTTTTCTAACCCTCTTTTTGAACAATTCTTCCTTCTGATCAATAATCTCTTTTTAAATCTAATAAAGAGATCTAGGGGGTATGTTTTCAGCAATTTTTATGAAAGACATTTATTAGGCCATAAAAAACAATGTTAACAGTTTTACCCACTTGTTGGGACATGAAGTTCTACGATTTCTTTTTATGGGTCAGCTTGTTTTTCTTCATTTTTTCCCCTCTCCTGCACTCAAAGTCAGCCCAAATATGGTAACAGTAAATCATTCAGACTGGGTTAATATATGCCGTTACAGGTTTAGATACCTCTCTGTCTCCTTGCTCATCTCTGAGACAGAAAGGGAATTAGTCAGACCGTCCTTAGAATCATTGCCTTGCACATTAAACCCTTGAGGACAGTGTAATGCGATCCCTATTTTCCTTACCTTTCAGATCTCTAGCTCCAGAGAAACCACAGCTCTGCTGGTTTTTGTGGTACAAACCACAAAGATGTTTTTTAACTTTGCTTAACTTTCCTTCCATCTGTTCTTTCCTCAAAAATGCACTTGCTGCTTTCCCTTCTCTTTTCATTGAAAGCCAAATTCCGTAGGTTTTGTTTCTTCCCCTTTTCAATCTGGCCTGATGCCTCTGCTTGTCGTCTTGACCTGTCTTTATGGACTTCTCTTGGTGAACTCAGGACCATAATTATTCCAAGGTCTCTCTGCTTTTTATAATTTCAGGTATGGATTATGTGGTGGACTCTCAAATGGTAAAAGCTTGATTTTAAAAATCAGCTTTGAAAATATTCCTTCTTCAGGTAAATTTCACAAAATGCCCAAGAAACAAGATTTCAGTTGCTTCCCACTTTCTCCTCCATGTCGGCACAGCCAGTGACCTACCTAAAGCATGAGGGATTATATTCGATCGTATTCAGAATAGTTCCTTTAAAAGAGACAATTTTAACTGCTCCGTATTTTCTGGATATCACAATCTTGAGTACGAAAGTTGGTTGGATCCAAATCTAGTGAAATTCCAAAGTGTAGGTATCTCAACTATAGAAGCAGCATGATATAGTTCAGTGGCTCCACAGCTATGGAGCATTTGATGTCAGTAGCATGAAAAATGGTTTAAGGTGGTTCACAGCAGTAAACAACAATGAAATGGACTATGAGAAAATTATTTTCTTTTCTGTTCAGTAGAATAACTACCAGGAATTATCCCTCAGTATGGTACTATTCTTGAATACTTCCCTGGCATTTCCTAACCCCTCTTTTGAACAGATAAAGAACAGGCATCAAACTGAAATCCTCAGCAGAAAACAACAATGTGTAGCTAGAATTTAGTGATGTTGCTTGGTTTAATTATAATTTTTATGGTTACATTTTTCCTTTTATGGTTGGTTGCCTTTGTGGGTACAGATTTCTACTCATAAGGTTGATATAAAACATCCTTATAAAGTATACTTAATGTGAGTAAAAAATAAGATAAACAAATTTAAAGAATAATATTAAGAAAATACTGATAGGAGTGTTACACATCTGTGTAGTAGAAATCATGAAAGTGATAACACAAATGAGTGTAATTGAAAAATATCATATTTGAATGAGTATAAATCTTGGAAGGTGACCAGGGACCTAATTTTAAACTGCACTTCTTCTTACTTATTACCTGATGATTTGTAAATAATGTACTAATTTACTTTGAGCCTTAGTTTCCTCTTCTTTAGAATAGAGGGAAAGGTGTATTACATAGGATCATAAAAAATAAAGTAATATAATAATTATCTAGCATAGTACCAGATATGGTGTAGATAGATACTCAATAACTGGTAGCTTTCTTTTTTTTTTTTTTTTTTTTTTTTGAGATGGAGTCTTGCTCTATCACCAGGCTGGAGTGCAGTGCTGCCATCTTGGATCACTGCAACCTCCGCCTCCCGGGTTCAAGCAATTCTCTTGCCTCAGCCTACCGAGTAGCTGGGACTACAGGTGCCCACCACCACATCCAGCTAATTTTTGTATTTTTAGTAGAGACGGGGTTTCACCATGTTAACCAGGGTGGTCTCGATCTCCTGACCTTGTGATCCACCAGCCTTGGCCTCCCAAAGTGCTGGGATTACAGGTGTGAGCCACTGTGCCCAGCCAATAACTGGTAGCTTTCTTTGCCCTCTTATCATTTCACTCCTATAACTTAAAAAGAACGTAATGTATTGGCTAAGGATAACTGAACTATGTACCCTTTCCTGGACAGTTAATATATATTTTAATGAGTTACAAAATATATAGCTGTCATTGCCATGTAGACCTGCTACTCATTACCAATTACATCTCCAAAAAGCACAGGAGCAACTCTTATGTGAGAGTCACTGACAAAAAGTCTGTGTTAATATTTCCTGATTGAGTCAGTCAGTATGACCCACCTCCCCTGTTAAAGTGCTTGCTTCTGGAACACTTCCTTTTATCTCCAAAACGTGCTTCTGGAGCACTTTTTATCTCTCTCTTCCCCTTTTCCTCTACAACCCTAGATACAATCTGTCATCAAGTTATGTATCAATAGCCTCCTTAATGTCAATCACACTTTCCTCTTATGCACTGTTTCCTCCCTGATCCGTGTCTTGCCCATGATGGTAATCTGAAAGGTCTACCATGTCGCTCATGGTCTCGCCACATCACCCCACCAGCTCTGCTCCAGGGCCTTGCAGTCCTTCAAGTGGCCCATATAGGTTGTTCCTTGCCTTCTCCTCAAGCCTTGTGATACCCATTTTCCCCTCCTTTTTTATTGTTTCTTCTTTACACACACGATTCTTCCTTCCTGGCAAGCTCAATGTGCTTCCCCTCCCACAGCCCGTTTCCTTCTAGTTTCTAGCCACCCTCCAAAACTCAGGTCAGTGGTTTCTTCCTCTGGATAATTTTCCCTGACCCTTGTCCAAAACCTTCGATTAGGCCAAACTTCTTGGCTATGCATTTCCTTTCTTCACAGCATTTATGTGTGGTCAACTTTACCAGACAGTGGTCTTTGAGAGAGCACGCATGCCTCGTGTTGCTAAGCATTTGTCCCCAGCACCTAATACAGCGACTAACACATAGTAACACTCAGTAAATATTTGTTGAATGAATGAATAAGTAACTTCCACTGGCACTTACCAGCCTGGACACTCCTTATTCTTGTCGTATTTAGAAATCTCAATGTGATGATAGTGGTTCCCGGTGTAATTTCTGACCTACAGAGAAGAGCCACTACACAATGCTGGGGTTCATTTATTCCTCAAAATCATGGTGAAGGCCATGATGTATCAAAATAAATTAGTTGTCCTCACTACATCAGAGTCTTGTTTGCTTATTGTTTTAATTTTTAAAAATTTTATTGTAGAAAAGACACATAATATAAAATGATAAAATGTACCACTAGTGACATTTAGCACATTTACAATATTATACAACTGTCACCACTATCTAGTTCCAGAAAATTTTCATCACCCCAAAAGGAAAACTCATACCCATTAAGCAGTCACTCCTTATTCCCCACTACTGTCAGCCCCTGGCAACCACTATTCTGTCTTCTGTTTCTTCAGATTCTCTGACTCTGGACATTTCATATAAATGGAATCATCACATTGTTTAGTAGCTGCTAATGTGAGTGTCTGTCTCCCAATCTAGACTTGCCTTTGTTATTTCTTAACCCATCATTAAGCCCAGTGTCTTGCATGTAGAAAATAGGTATGGAATAAATGCTTCTAGAGAAAGAAAAGAACTATTTTCTTTTCAATCATCTGTCATATGAAACACATGCATAAAATATATTTTTAGTTCTGAAGGCAAGGATTTTGCCATATTGTTTCTAGTAGGAAATTAAACTGAAGAAGTGGAGTACACCCAATCTATTAGTTTTTATTATCATATTTATACCAAACTTATTTCCAAAACTACCTTGAAACTAAAAGACCATATGATTCTGGAAAATATAGTAAGGTATTAATACAGAAATAGAGTTTCAGAAGACATAAAGGAAAAGGGAAAACAAATATATTAACCACTTAAGCTAATAGATAATTACCACAATTAAGGATGTCTCTGAATTTCCTGCAAAGCCAAAGTAAGAAAAAAGTATCTTATTATTGTTATATTATATTAAAAAGTAATCACTTATATTTTAAAAAGTGATATTTTTTCTTTACTAATTCTAAAAAAAATCATAGTTTTTAAATTTATTTCTAAATCTTTACAAGTAATGGACTTGTGCTAGAAACTACTCTGCAGTATGAATCTAAAGATGAATCTTTTTAAATCATACTTTCCAGGGCTACAGTTATTATGTCTTGTACAAGAATGCTCATGATTATGTGTCTACCGGTGCTTTAAAATAATCGCCAAGCTTAAGGGTTCATGCATGAACCTGGTAGAGCTATTTACTCAGCTATTAAATTTCTGTTCTATGAAGCTTGTCAATCAAGCCACAATTCAAAATAATTTAAGAGCAGCAAGTTTGTTGAGCCAAGCAATTCTGAAAACACCCACCTTCAATTATAGCAGTGGGTGTAGTTTGGACATGGGTTTCCATGAAGGCTGGTCTGAACCACAGGTCAAGCAGGATGACCTGTGACCATTTATATAAAGGCACCATGATCATTTTTCATTATTTCACACCACCTGGCAGAGACTGAGTCCAAAATAGCCCACCTGTTAGACATTATATTTTGATCAAAAATCAGATCACATAAAGTAGTGCTTGATTTAAAAATTTACCCAGGAGCCTGCAAAAATGGAATATAGTTAAAGCTGTTTTCTGTGTTTGCAAAACACAGGCCTTTCCTTTTCTGTAGCTTGGCAGAATAAAAACTTAATGGAAGGTTCTCATGGGAAACTTTCAGATTTGCTAAGCAATTGATGTAGCTAAAAGCATGCTGAGTCAATTGAGAGGAGCCCAAACTCTGTCTAAATTAGAGTTTCTGGTATACTTAGGAACAATTGCAAGGTTATTTTGGGGAAGCTGGTCTGTGAGTTTTCCTGACATTCCTTTTTTTTTTTTTTTTTTTTTTCCTGGTCAGCACATCACTTCAGCCCCAGGGTTGGATTAATTAAGGCCTGCATGCACACTCCTCCTCCCATCCTGAGAATGATGGTAAAGGTCACAGCTACTAAAACCACAAAGGCCTCAATGACATCCTATTTCAGTGTTAGAATTCCAAGAAGGCTTTTGTTAAAATAAACATCAAGAGATTTTAAATAAACTACACTGATTATTAACTGGCATGCTTTCTTTTTTTCCCCTCAAATGTGATCCATTGAAATCCAATTTATGTGCATTCATTTACTCAACAAGCATTTATGGAATACCTACTAAGCGGCAGGTACTATATTTGGGATGGGGAATGCAATGATAAAAATCTTACAAGGGCATTTGGGAGGCCGAGGCAGGCGGATCACCTGAGCTCAGAAGTTCAAGACCAGCCTGACCAACATGGAGAAACCCCATCTCTACTAAAAATACAAAAAAATTTAGGCAGGCGTGGTGGCGTATACCTGTAATCCCAGCTACTCAGGAGGCTGAGGCAGAAGAATCGCTTGAACCCAGGAGGCAGAGGTTGCAGTGAGCCGAGATTGCGCCATTGCACTCCAGCCTGGGCAACAGGAGAGAAACTCCATCTCGAAAAAAAAAAAAAATTCTTACAAGGGCATTTAAGAAGCTTACATTCGAGAGTAGTCATGCATTCATTTATTCATTCAAAATATATTATATTTACTGAGTGTCTACTATGTTGCAGTCATTACCCAGATAATTAGAATACATTAATAAGAGTAGTCAAGAAGGTACAATCTGAGCACAGACTTGAAGGAGGTAGGGGAGTGGGCCATTCTGACAATGAACAAAGAGCATTTGGGGCAGCAGTAACGGCTCATGCAAAGGCCTTACGATGGATGGAAACATGCCTGCTAGATGGGGCACAGCAGGGAGACCAGTGTGGTGGAGTAGAGTGAGCAAGAGTGGTAGAAAGTGGTAGGAAGAGTGGTAAGAAATGGGATTGGAAAGCAAGCGGTAATCCCAGCACTTTGGGAGGCCGAGGCGGGCGGATCACGAGGTCAGGAGATCAAGATCATCCTGGCTAACATGGTGAAACCCTGTCTCTACTAAAAATACAAAAAAAATTAGCCAGGCGTGGTGGCGGGCACCTGTAGTCCCAGCTACTCGGGAGGCTGAGGCAGGAGAATGGTGTGAACCCGGGAGGCGGAGCTTGCAGTGAGCCGAGATCGCATCACTGCACTCCAGGCTGGGCGACAGAGTGAGACTCCGTCTCAAAAAACAAAAACAAAAAAAAAAAAAAAAAAAAAGAAGAAAGCAAGTGGGACAGAGCAGGAGCCTGAAAGGGGAGGTTGTAGTTATATAAAGCCTGTAAGCCATTGGAAGGACTTGAGCTTTTGTCCTGCATGAAACAAAAACCAAAGCTGAGTTTTAATCTGATTTCTACTTTTAAAGGATAAATCTAGCTTCCATGCTGGGAGTAGATAGACTTTAGAGGTGATCAAGGATCAACGCACAGAGAACAATTAGGAAGCTACTAGAGAAATCTTGGCTGGGGGTTAGGGTGGCTTGGACTAGGATGGTGGCAGTGGAGATGGTGAAAAATAATCATGTTCTGTAAATCTTTTGAAGGTAGAGCTAATAAATTTCCTGATGGATTCAATGTGAGATGGGAAGTAAAGACAGATACCTTGATTCATTCACACATTCTTTCATTCCTTGACTCATTTCTTCACTCATCTATTAATCTACTCAACAGAAAGCAACTCAACCTTTTGTGCCAAGCATTATATTAGACAGTGATGATGTGGAGAAAAGGCAGAATTCTCTCAAAGAGTTACTACTTTAATGGAGACTACAGGCTTATAAACAAAATGTGCTATAAGGGACATATGGAACAAAGAAAGAACAATCATTTTTGCTTAAAAGAATCAATGAATTAGGCACAGAGAAAGAGATACTTGAATTATGTCTTAAAGGAGGAATGGGCATTTGTCAGTTGATTAAATCAGAGAAGGGCATGCCAGTCAAAGAAAGAGTAGACAAAGAGGCAGGAGACAGTTTCACAAATTTGAGAAACTACATATATTTTTGAGTTCTAGTACACATTGCGCAAAGGTGGGAATAGTGAGAAAAAGGCTGGAGAGGGATATGGGGTGAGATTTCAGATAATATTTGACCTCAGGCTAAACATGGTGGCTATTATCTTTTCGTGATGAGATGTTATAGAAAAGGTTTAAGTAGTGGAGTGACGTGGCCAGATTTATGTTTTAGGAAAATCACTAGTTCAGTAGGACTAATGCACTGGAAATACGTGTCAAGTTATTGACAGCATAAAAGGGAATGGTAATTTTGTAAGATCCAATTTGGAGAAAACTCAGGATCATAAAAACTTTTAACTTTGTCATTAAGGTAAATATCAATTAGAAATAAAAGCAAAATTATTTCATTACTGAGAGATAAAGTTGTCTTCTTTCAAAAAGCTGAGAATCACTACTTTAATCCCAGCAATGAGTCAAAATTTTTTTTAACATTTATAACATGCAAGGCTGCATTGTCAGTGACTCTGTAAGATACAACAGTGAGTAACATGTTCCCTTTCTCCAAGAGCAGGCAAGTCTAGAAACAGGTTCTGGAAGCTGACAGGTCTGGGTATAAGTCTTAGGTCTCTTCCTTCTGAACAGTGCTAATCTTTTAAATATGGCTCTCGACCACCTTAGTGATTTGATAAAACACACATACAAGTCCCAGTTGAAACTTACTAGATCAGAATCTCTGTCTGCAGAACCATAGAGACCATTTATCAAGTGCTCTAACTTATGGTTGTGCACAGTAAAATAGCTGTACAACCTTGTGTAGTTTACTTCCCTGAGCTGCAGTTTCCTCATCCACATAATGAGCATGACAATACGGCCTGCCTCTTAAGGTTGTGGGGAGGATTAAATGAGGCAACTTTTAGTAAGGCTTAGCACAGGGCCTGGAAATTACCAGGTACCCAATAAATAATAACTGTAATCAAGGAACCAAAATATAAGGCTGATTATGGTTAGTATTGTAACAGTGTAAAAGCAACAACAAAAAATGTAATGAAACATTACATCTGAGGTGAAATAATTCAGTTCTGAAATAAAAGGGGGTTGAAGAGATGTCATAGAAAGTTCCAATCTTTGTTCATGTTCCTCTTGCCCATGACAACATCCCTCTCTACTTTCCGTACCATGGATAACTCCTAATCTGACACCAAGCCCTGATACTTCCTTCTAGCAACACCTTCAGCCAGGCTGAGCAAGGTGCACTCTTCCTGAGCTTCTGAAGCACCTGCCATCGCATCACTCTGTGCTATAGGGTCAGGATGGCACTTCTCTGCCACCTGGATATGTTCTGTGCATGTCTCTCCATCTAGACTGTATGCTTCTCTTGAGAAGGACCTATCTCATTCCTTCATCTTTACATCCCCAGAGCCCATCATACTCTTTGATACAAGCCTGGGCACTCCTTAAATATCTGTCGATTTGAACTGGGTTCAAACTTCATCACAGGCCTGTTGATTACTTAGGGATCTGAAATAAAGAGATGGATAATAGGACATTCCATAGAGGTTATAGCAATGAATGAGAAATGGGAGCGTATGTGGACAAGGTAGTGAAGAAAGACGGTATCTTGTATGTTACATGTGCTCTCAGGCTACAGGACAAGTAACAGGGTGAACTGTGAGATAAGGGTGGGCAGAAATAATGATTAAGAAGTTGTATGCTATAGACAATGATCATCTGTTGATGAGTTGGACTAAATGGTGATGTGACCAGAACCATGTTTTGAGAAAAATCCAGAGGATGGAGTCAGAGTAGAAGTAGGGAGATGAGTTGTAGACAAACCACTCAAGCAGAAATAAGAAACTCCTGTTAAAGTTTGTCAACAGCCATCATATCTGGTACAAATGAACATGGCCCTAACTCAAAGGCTGTTGCAAGAGCAATAAATGAAGACTGAGAATGTTTCTTGGCATCTCATTCATTCCATTCCATTCCATTAAGTTTTACAATTGTCACTGTTTATTGTCTTCTAAAATCAGCCCATACAGGGTGGATGAGACCATTGGAGTTCTCTCATTCTGTTAAATAATTGTTTGCCATGTAATCTTGAGGCTACATCAGAAAAGCCGGATATAATTTAGGTGTTTTTTCTTTCTTTCTTTTTTTAAAAAACAAAGACATTACTCTGTTTTTATTCATCAGAGAAAGCCCTGCTGCTATTTGTCTGTGTGAACAATTTATTGAGGCTTGGAATTCAGCACTCAGGGAATTGTTTAAATTATCTTGGGGCATCACATCCTCCCCTGGTGTCTTGCCAAAGGAAAGAATTCAAGAAATATTTGTTAAAAGAATAAGTGAATAATTCATTGCAACATTCATTGCAGTGGTATCTGCCTGGAATTTGGCTTCACACTCCTGTTTTCCACAGCTTCAGTTCTACATGTTGGAATAGATCATCTGGACCCTCTGGATTCTGGTCCTGTACTGACCTTCAAGCTGTCTCTTTCAGCTTTCTGTGCTGAGGCAGAAAAGAGGAAAGCTGGACCACACCCAGCCAGGACTACACGTGCAGGTAGTACACAGGAATTGGGAATGTGCGTTTGGGCTGGCAGTATTGCTCTGTGTGGTTGGCAGAAGGAGGCACCATTCACATTGAAAACTAGGAATACGCAGGAGCTATTGTTGGGTTACCATTCCAGAAGTAGTTTCCATCCATGGTGCTTCCTCTGTCCAGGAAACCTCCCCAAAGAGGCCTACGCCCTCCCTTACTTGCAGTACTCCATAGCAGAGCAGGAGTCTACTCAGTCCACCCTGGCGTCTGAAAATGCACATGTGCTCACACCTAAAGCACAAGAAGCACAAAAACAATCCAGTTAGAAACACTTGTCACTCATATTCTCACCATTCTGATAATAACCATTGATAATTGTAGATAAAAGTCACAAATTTACCAACTTAGTGAGAGATTATAACACACTATCAGTATTTGATAGATCAAACTAACAAAAATTAAGAAGGATAGAGAAGATGTGAACAAAATTAACAAGCTGATTTTATATACAGTGGATCCAACAATTTAAAAAATTTATTTTCTGTCCACAAGAAGCATCTAGGAAATACAGCAACCAAAAGCCATAAACCATTTCATAATAAATATCAATAAATAACAAACATTTGTACCACCTACAATGTTTTCTAATTATAATGCAGTTATATTAGAAATGAATACAAAAAGAAAATTAAGACAAACATCACATACATTAAAAATTTTTTAATTTCACCAATAGACATCAAACACATTTTTGGAAATTTCCACAGATATCAATAATAAATATTTTAGAGAGTAGAAATAGTCTTTTTATTAAAATAATTAAAATGTAAGCATATGAAAAGAAATCAGGAAATACTAATTTGTACCTCAGTGAGATTCCATCACACACCTATTAGTATGACTAAAATTAAAAAGAGTGATAATATCAAATGTTGCCAAGTAACATTTGTGAAGTTGTAAAGTAACTGAAACAGTCATATACTGCCTGTGGTCCTATAAATCAAACTATTTAAAAACTTAACATTACCTATTCAACTTGAACATAAACACATGACCAAATGATTCCATTCCTAAGCACATACAAATCTGAAATTCAGAAGTATATCAAAAAATATGTATTAGAATGTTTACAGAAACATTATTCATAATTGCCCCACAAATAATCATGTGCTCATAAACATCAAAATGGATCAATAAGTTGTGATTTATTCATATATTGGACTATTTTGTGCAATAATGGTATAAGATACCAGCAGAGTGGTTACCTTCAGAAAAGAGGAACAGTAGCCATTGGAGAGGGCATGAAAGGGCTTTTTGGGTAGAGGTACTGTTGCATTTCTTGATCAAGGTTGTATCAACATGGATATGCTTAGTTCATGATAATTAATTGAGTGTATATTTATGTTTGTGCACCTTCTTTATGCCTATTTTATATGCTCTTATAAAATATGCCCATATTAAAAATTTGAGAGTAAATTTTGAGAATAAAAATTTGAGAGTATGGCAGATCAGCCTATTGATCCTTTATTTTCATCTAGTTGAGTCTTTTTACTGCCAGTCTCTATTCCTCCAGAAAATATCACAAGCCACAAAAATACTCTCTTCAGAAAAATGTTTATAAATTGACTTCTGGCAGTATGTTAGTCTGGTTATCTAGAATAACCCTTCAGATAAAATAACTCACAATGGTGAATTAGATATTAATCAGTATATTTTAAATGCATTATTGATACTTCTACATCTGTGTAAAATTGAATTACTTATAGCAGACAAATACTTTAAGAACAAGAAAAAAAATTCAATAAATGCAAAATTTATCTCTTAAAAAGTCATTAGAAAACCACTGAAGAAATGAGGGCTTGTGGGATAAAAATTGTGGACAGTTTTTATATCTATAGTTTGTTATACATAATGTCTAGCATTCAGTAAAAACTTACTAGACATGTTGTTAAATAGGTTTGTATAACTGAAAACTAAGAAATAGATGGAGCTGGAGGTCATTATGTTAAATGAAATAATCCAGGAACAGAAGGACAAATTTCTCACTCATATGTGGGAGGCTAAAAACATTTATCTCACAGAGGTAGGGAGTGGAATGACAGATATCAGAGGCTGGGAAGGGTGTGTGGGTGGGAGTAGGCATATAAAGAAGTTGGTTAATGGGTACAAGCATACAGTTAAATAAAAAGAACAAATTGTAATGTTCTGTAGCAGAGTGACTATAGTTAGCAATAATGTATCATATATTTCAAAGCAACAGAGAAAGAGGACTTGAAATGTTCCCAACACATAGTAATAATAAATATTCAATTTGATGAATATCCTAAATACCCTGATTTGTTCATTACATATTCTAGGCATGTAACAAAATATCACATGTACCTCACAAATATGTAAAATATTATGTATCAATTTTTTTAAACCCAAGAAAGAGAAAAAAGACAATCAGACAAAATTTAGATATTGAAGTTAATCAGGCAAGGACATTATCTGTGGTCAACATCTCCAAAAATTGCAGAAAAAAATACATAAAATAAATGATGTGATAGAAAATTCCACCAAAAATCAGGCTCTATAAATAGATATTTGAACTGCCAAAAAAGTAAGAAATTTGAAGAGGCCAAACATGAAGGAGAGCAAAAACTGTGGGACATAATTTGCACTGGATGCAGCTATCATCATGAATAAAAGGCTTCTGTGACATCTTGGTAACTTTAAGTTTCCATTTTATAGTTGTGCAATGCATAGGAATCAGGAGATTGAAGCTTAGGGTGTGCTGGGGAGTGAATTGTGTCACCCCAAATTCATATGTTGAAGCTCTAACCTTAATGTGACTGTATTTGGAGACCGAACCTTTAGGAGGTAATTAAGGTTAAATGATGTCATAAGAATTGATCTCTAATCCAATAGGATTGGAGCCTTTATGAGAAAGATCTCAATCTCTCTCTCCTCTCTCTCTCTCTCTCTCTCTCTTCTTTCTCTCTCTGCCTTCTCTCTTTTTTCTCCTCTCTCTCCTCATGTCATGTGAGGGTATACCAAGAAGACAGCCAACTACAAGCCAGGAAGAAGGTCCTCACCAGAAACTGACCATGCTGGCACCCTGATTTCAGACTTCAGCCTCCAATAGTGTGAGAAAGTAAATTTCTGTTGTTCAAGCCACCCAGTCCACGGGATTGTGTTATGGCAGCCTAAGCAAACTAATACATACTGTAGGCAAATTTAAAAGTTTAACAGGAGGTCCACAACTTAAACTATATCCTCAAAGAATTACACCCTCAGTGGAAGGATAAATAAATTTCCTAGTAGAGAAGGGGAAGGAGACTTCCTTTGTTGACTTGATTCATAAACCAAAAGAAAAAAACTCTTTCCAGAAAATATTTATATAAATCAATCCTCACATGGATTTTTCAGCCCCAGTTTTTGCTACTTTGTAGTACAAAACACATAATAAAGATAATTTAGTTTAAAGTGGTCGTGAGTTGCAGTGAACTAAAACAATTAGCAGAATCAAATGTAAACCCTCTCAGAAAACTCAATTCATACCACTAAGTACTCCCACAGGTAAAGTTCCAGGAAAATATGCTCAAAGTGAAAGATTACAAAATAAAAAAGAAATAAAATGCAAAGAACAAAAGTCAGCATACAAAACGAATAGAAGCATCAGAGCTACAAAGACTTTATATATTAAAAGTATCCAATATTTGCATAAAATAATAATGCCTTATTACTTTTCAAAGAATTAAAAAAGGCTTAAACTTGAGCAAAGTATAAGAAACTTGGGATGTGAGGAATGATTAAACATATTTAGAGAATTACCAAAAAATAACTTAGAGAAATGGAAAATGTAATTAGTAATACTAAACCTTCAACAAATGGTTAAAAATCAGATTATATGCAACAGAGGAGAAAACCAGTAGAGAAGAGAGAGCCAAAAGTATTACCCAAAATGTGACCCAGAGGAACAAAAAACAAAAATAACAACAACAAAACAAAACAGAACAAAAAAACAAAAAATGAAACATATAAAAGATTAAGATACATAAAGGATATAATGTGAAGGTCTAACCAATGAATAAGAGTTTCAGACAAACAATAGTAAGAAAAAAGAAACAAGAAATATTAAATTATATAATGGCTAAGCATTTTTCCGAACTGGAAGAACAAACATTATACTGCCAGTGGGAGTATAAAATCTGGCAGACATTTTGGCATAACCTAATAAAATTAAATGTAGTTATTCCTTTCAACTT
Source organism: Homo sapiens (assembly GCF_000001405.40). Taxonomy (NCBI): domain Eukaryota; kingdom Metazoa; phylum Chordata; class Mammalia; order Primates; family Hominidae; genus Homo; species Homo sapiens. Next base: position 55,979,701 of record NC_000001.11, read on the forward strand.
ATCAATTTTACTCCAAAGGAATATTCCTTAGACAAAGTCTTGCACATGTACATTAGGAGACATGTATTAATACAATATTGTTCACAGGAGTGCTATTCATAATAGTGTGTGTGGTATAGTTGTACAATGGAATGCCATATAACAATAAAAATAAATGCATCAACATTGATTAACCTTGAAAACACAAAAAAGCAAGTCAAAAGAATACATACCATTTGATTCTATTTCATAAAATGCAAAACAATAATCTTTATAGGGATCTCTCTCTAAGATGGTCTCACACACAGAGAACACTACTATTAACTTATTCGTGTATATCCACCCAATCTTTGTTCATTGTTTTATAAACATATGCACTCACTTACTACATACCACATACTACATACCCACACACCACAACATTTTTAAATGCCTGGGATCATACTGTATATATTGTTTATGACCTGCTTGTTTCACCTAGAATAAATCATAAACAGTTTCTCATGTTAAATAAAAACTGTAAATGATTTTATTGGCCAGATAACATTCTATCATATAGGATAGACCATACTTAACCAATTCTGTACTATTAAACATTTAATTGATTCAACTATTTTTTCATAAGTAGTAGCACTGCAATAATGCATATTCTTACACTTGAATCTGTGTTATATCACTGTTCATTTCAATGGGATAAATTGCTCTCAATAGAATAGCTTGTTGAATGGTATGACACTATGGACTACAACCAGTGATATGAGAGTGACCGTGTCCCTAGGAGTCTTTCTAGATAATAATGTTCTATTTAATTTGTATCAATTTGATAAGTAAAAAATGGCATCAGCCTGTTTCAATGTACTCTCCTTTTATTTCTAATGAAGCTGAAATTTTTCTTATATGTGTATTTCTTTTTTAATAGGTAGCATGTGCATTTGTTCCGTCTGTTTGTATATTTATCTTGCCTTTCTCTTTCCTGCGTAGATTGTTTATCAGAAATAATTTGTGAAATGTGTGTGTATGTTTGCTGAGGTTATTGTGCAATAGATTATCTTTTCCCAGCTTTGCATTTGACTATGTTTCCATGCCAGGCAAACCATGTAACTGTCACTGGTCTTATTCTTGGTGCTGCTATGTGCCACGCCTTTTACAGTGCTTCCTGAGATATTCCATATGCCTTGGGGCCACTAAACGAAGCTTCTTTCTAATGCTGTAGGTTGGGGATTGGCAAACTACAACAGGTAGGCCAAATCTTGCCTGCCACCTATTTTTGTATGGCCTGCAAGCTAAGAAAATATTTTAAATGGCTGGAAAAAAATCAAAGGAAGAATAACATTTTATGACACATAAAAATTATATGAAATTCAAATCTCAGTGTCCATAAACAAAGTTACATTGCAACACAGCCATGCTCATTCTTTTATGTATCATCTAAGGCTGCTTTTATGCTAAAATGGCAGAGATGAATTGTTGCAACAGAGACAGCATGGGTCAGCAAAGCCCAAAGTATTTACTATCTGGCCCTTTACAGAAAAAGTTTGCTGATCCCTGCTGTAGATTCATAGCTTGAAAAGAGATAACGAATGACACATTCTATCTCTAATATGTCTCTTCTCACCTTTAGTGCTTGTCTGTTAGGGCTGCTAGTGGGATTTTGCCAGAATCTCTTTTACTCACTGCTATAATGCAGGGCATCTTTCTTTATCAGGAAGGATGGATTTGAGCCATGCCTTCTTTTAATCCAACTCTAGAAATTCCTTGAGGTATCTAAAATATGAATGGTATCTTCCTTTATTTTGGCTTTTATGCTTTTTTTTTTTTACCCATTTTAAATTCCTTTGACCATTTAAATGGCGGTTTGCACATAAGGAGGAACAGCTTTTTACTCAAATTACCTTCTTACCCCAGTTCATAGCTATTTATGTTGCAACTTAGAGGGGTGTTTAAACCAGAGTTTACACTTTCAAGGACTAGCATGGATCCCCTCTCATTCCATGATAATTGCCACTATCTACTAATGTATTTGGAACTGGAAAACAATGTAGGAAGCAATGATCTAAATTTTAAGTGAAAGAGAAATATAGTTAATACCTGATTATTTCTCCAAGTTTATCACACTTATATTTTTGCAAGGGAGACAGAACAGCATTTTTGAATCACTAACTAATAATATTATTACCTCATTGTTAAAGCCAATATTTAAATAGGGTAACAAATAATACATTCTATCTCTAATATATCTCTTTTCATCCTTAGCTCTAGTACAGAGCCAAGAGAAACACTGTGTCCTTAGTCCATAACATTGACTTCCTCACTGTTTAGTAAGGTGCAAGTCCTATAGATGTGATCATTGGTATGGGCAGACCAGGTGAAGGAGCAAGCCAGACTGTTACATGGACCATCAGTCTGTAAGGAACACTGAAACATCAATAAAAAAGGAGATCGAGAAAACATTATCTATGAGAGTTTATCTCAAAGTAAGTACTGCATGAACCTGAACAGAGTACTTTGATAAATCACTTGGGTCATTGCTGAGTAACAAAACATGATAACTAAACTTCCTTCTAAGGATAATGTTTTGCTAAGGGCTATTGTTTTGCTAAAGGAGTTATATGAATGAATAGCGGCGATCCTTTTCCCCATCCGTCTCCCTTGCAGCTTTAAAGAGATGTTCTTAAAATAGATATTCATGGGCCAGTTGCGGTGGCTCACACCTTAAATCTCAGCAATTTGGGAGACTGAGGTGGGCAGATCACCTGAGGTCAGGAGTTCGAGACCAGCCTGACCAACATGGAGAAACCCCATCTCTACTAAAAATACAAAATTAGCTGGGCATGGTGGTCCACGCCTGTAATCCCAGCTACTTGGGAGGCTGAGACAGGATAATCGCTTGAACCCAAGAGATGGAGGTTGCAGTGAGCCGAGATCATGCCATTGCACTCCAGCCTGGGCAACAAGAGTGAAACTCCATCTCAAAAACTAAACTAAAATAAATAGATATTCATAAAAGTTTAAAATGGACACCAACTTTTCAGCCTTCAAGTCATCCACATATCATTCTAGTCCAGGGAAAGGAAATCCCCACATAAGTTTATGAAATACCCATCCTGGGCGTATAACAAGTTGGGGAAAGAGGCTTAATGTGCCTATTTGTATACTGTTTCCCTACTGCATCCCATAGGAAAATAGTACAAAATGCTTCAAAAGTAACCTTGGTACCAGGGGATAATTAAAAGTGATACATGAGAAAAATCATGATGACCCAATGGAAAATGGGTTTTCATTTTCTTACCTTTCTGCAAAACCAGTATCTTTAACAGCAAGGAGCTCAGTGGCAGGAAGGAAGAGTAAGTCAGACGGATATACATTCAGAAAGACAGACAAAAAATGAATTGCTGGCATTGATATGTAAATCATGCAGCGAGCATTTTGCAAAGCATGTTGAAGTATAATTAAAGACTATGCTTGGCTGGGCATGGTAGCTTATGTATGTAATTGCAGCAGTTTGAGAGGCCAAGGAAGGCAGATTGCTTGAGCTCACAAGTTCAAGACAAGCCTGGGCAATATGGTGAAACCCCATCTCTACAAAATATACAAAAATTAGCTAAGTGTGATGGCACACACCTGCAGTTCCAGCTACTCAGGAGGCTGAGGCGTGAGAATCACTTGAACCCAGGAGACAGAGGTTGCAGCTGAGATCATGCCATTGCATTGTAGCCTGTGGGATGGAGCCAGATTTTGTCAAAAAGTGGAGAAGAAGAAGGAGAAGGACAAGGCGAAGGGGAAGGGGAAGGGGCAGGGGAAGGGGAAGAAAGAGGAGGAGAGGGGAGGAGAGTAGAGGGGAGGGGAGAAGAGCAGAGGGGAGGGGAGTAAGGGGGAGGGGAGGGGAGGGGAGTAGGGGGGAGGGGAGGGGAGGAGAGGAGAAGAGAAGGAGGAGGAGGAAGAGGAAGAGGAAGAAGAAAAGACTATCCTTACAGTCAATCAAGTGCTGATATAGGAAGTACGAACTGTCATATGTATGTATGTATGGATAGATAGATAGATGATAGATAGATAGATAGATAGATAGATAGATAGATAGATAGATAGACATAAATATGAATAGAATTATTCCATAATAAACTGAAGACCAACAAGACCTTATGGGATATACAAGAGGACAAGGGTAACAAAAACTAGAATCTTATTTAAAAAAAAAAGGATTTGTACTGGACCAGAACAAGGACTATGTATTCTTTTAGTCATACTGGTTGATTACTATCAACTAAGCTTAAGGAAAGACCAGAAATTGATTTGGAATTTCATTGAAAAGAGACTAATCTGGAGAAAATGAGTTAAAGAGATACATTTAGATTTAATTGATAGTATGTTTTTAAAGGTTTCATTCAAATTTGTTCAGTTATTTTTAAGAAATACTTTCAATATGTTTATTAAGTCTCAAGTTAAAAAATTCAATAGGAAACAACTTAAATGCCAATTAAGAGGTATTAGTTAAATAAGATTTGGTACACAGAGGCTATATTCTAGATATTGAACTATTGGATCCTTTTTAATATGCTGTCTTAATATAATTTCTGGCTGGCTGTGCTACATATTTTATTATGATGTTACTGAGATTTAGCATCACATATTCAAGATACTCACTATGTACCTAGGGGAAAAACACATTAATTTTCTTTTATTTCTCTTATGACTTACACCTTGGCTGACCTTAGTCTTCTATATCTTTTCCTATATCTACCTTTCACCTCTAATTTAGGTTCCAATTTTCCACAGGTTCTAATATGCTAGCATCTATTTAAGCACCTTACATTTCCACATAAACCAACATAACTGTAAAAATCTGTGCTACCCTGATTGCATAAATGTCTCAATCTTACTTTATACCTGAGGAACTTTCTGACTTACTGATATTGGGATAGTTTATCATGACAGATCATGAAGACCAAACTCAATAAAGATGTCAGACTCTGGAATTTACACATGGTAGAACATTGGAAAAATTACTTCCCGTCTTGAACTATGATTTCCCCATCTTCAAAATATGTAGCTCAAAAGATTGTTGTGAGCATTAAATATGATATTATATTTGTGATGCCCACCACAGTGCCTACCTGGTTGCTGAAGCTCCATTGGTAATACTCCCTAAAAAAGATTCCTTCCTCAAATTCCAGAAGTCGGGGTCCTGATGTGAAGGAATGGATTCATGGTCAAGTTCCTTCTGACTTTTAGTAGCACCTACTTCCTGAAATCCCACATGGATTCCTGAGAAATTGCTCAAATGAAAAAGTATAATTTACCATGAAGGAGTAGGAGTATTAAGTTGATTGTCAAGTGTTTCCTCCCTACTAGACTGTGGTCTTCAGAATAAAGGCTATATTATTGTTTTCTATATCCCTAGCAAGTGCCTACTGCACACTGGTAAATATTTGCTGAATAAATAAATACCATTTTTATCCTTTTTGATGAAAGTCCGAGGGTTGTTGATACCTGTCGGGATTAATCATGCACTCATACTTCTCTAAATGTTGAATATGGAATTACTGACCACTTTCTAAAAGATAAACCTTAGAGCCAAATCAGTTTTCCAAAATTCATTCAATCCATTCTATAGCTATATAGAAGGGATTCTATATCTTCTTTTCTCTCTCTCCTTCTATCTCTTCATTTCTCTCTTTACTAATCCCATGTGGTTAGGATCCTAGTATATCTTTAAACTGAGTTTATCTTAATGGTATGTCTTAATAATCCTCACCATCCTCTTCCAGGTAATATGGCATTTCTATCTGTATTTCATCCTAATATTACATAGAAAGTTATATGAGCTTACTACTGGGCCCTCATTTAAAGCAGTTTCTTAATAAATAATTATTAGATTTTGACATCCTTGGATTTAACCTTCTCCAGATATATTATTTCTCCAGAAGTCATCAATAGATTAGCTCTGGAGTTAAGATTAATTTAGGGGGATTTAGGCCATATGTGGGTAGAAGGGACGAAAAGAGGGTTATTTATTTATTTATTTGAGATGGAGTCTCGCTATGTTGCCCATGCTGGAGTGCAGTAGCATGATCTTGGCTCACTGCAACCTCTGCCTCCCGGGTTCAAGCAATCCTCCTGCCTCAGCCTCCCGAGTAGCTGGGATTACAGGTGCATGCCACCACACCCAGCTAATTTTTGTATTTGCAGTAGAGACAGGGTTTCTCTATGTTGGCCAGGCTGGTCCCGAACTCCTGACCTCAGGTGATCCACCCGGTCAGCCTCCCAAAGTGCTGGGATTACACTTTGGCATGAGCCAAAGTGGCATTACACGTGGCATGAGCCACGGCACCCAGCCGAAAAGAGGGTTTTAAGAAAAATTTCACAAGCAAAAGGGGTGTATTTGTACAATATGTAAAAAAATAAAAAGGCTTCTGAGGTCAAATAAAACACTAAGCTAAACAAAAATAAATTCTTGCAGTACATTTCAAATCCTTTATCATAGTATAATGAATTGTGAAATACACAAGGTTTCCCAACATGATTTGGCCATGAAGAACTTTTTTTTTTCTTGGAAAATCTAAAGGGATTAGTGGAAAGGCTGCTCTGTATATCTATCTTGCTCATAATGGCTTTTCTTTGTCTGTTGGGGAAGTCTTGAAAAGATCAATTAGTTTCTTCTGAAAGAAATCTTGTAATATCTTCTTTGACCCTTTGTCCTCTGAATTCATGGAGTGATCTTTGAAGCTCATTAAACCTTAACTAAAGTCACTGCTCTCATAGTTTTTCCTTCACATTATTTGAATCAAATACCTGTTCCACATTTGAGGTCCGTTAGATAGGGATGAAAAAATTTTGTTTAAAAAAACACAATATCCTTTCTTTACTTACTTCATAAATGTGCTTCTTAAACTTTACTTAATCTAATCTTCCAAACTTTACCACAATGGGACAAAAAAATTCTAACATTTTACTGGAAGGACCCTAAGATATTTTCTTTTTTCCTTTTCATTTATGCAACAAGTATTCATTGAGGGCCTACTATATACCAGATACTATTTTAGGTTTTTGAGATATAGGAATGAACAAAGAATACTTTTTGTAGAGTCTACACTCTAGCTGGAGGAGGAAAATAGACAATAAAAATAAATCAAGTAAACAAATAAATAAATAATTAAATATGTCAGACAGTAAACTTGCTGTGGGAAAACAAACAAACAAAAGAGGCAGAGGATAGGTTGAAATTTTAAATAAGATGGTCTCATTGGGAAGGTGGCATTTGAGCAAAGTCTCTAAGGAGGTGAAAGGTACAAACCTGAGTGAGACATGGCTGTTCTCTCTCAACTGGAGAGACAGAGGCACAATTTTAATATATTTTGGTAAGTGACCATGGAAAGTTCAGGCTGCCCTGGGAACACAGGTCAGAGAAAAACTCTTCATTCTGGGAATTCAGAGAAGAATTTTTAGAAGAGATAATGTTTGCCAATATTTATAAAGGGTAAATACACATTAATGTGAAGCTTATTTTCTCTGCTACCTAAATGATGAATTGACAACTAGATGATTAGCCACCTTTGAAGCCTGGTTTTATGCAGAGCTGCATTAAATGTGACACCCTTCACTCAGCAGTGTGAAAAAACTCTAATCATTTACCACCTTAGAGCTTATATATTTTTTTCCATCTACTAACTGGAATCAAGAAAAATAAAAAAATTCAGAAGTGATTTAAAAGCATAATAAATGCTTTTAAATAATAGGGAATTATAGGAGCCCACTTCTTGTGGATTGATTCATAAAATTATTAGCAAGCAACGTTTTAGTTTGTGGACCTGTTGTTTTTGCAGGCTGACCCTTCTCTGCAATTGAAAGAAGCTGCATAATTGTAGGAAAGGGATAAGGACCCAGAAGTGGAATTTCAGGCAGGCATCTCTACAAAACAAGGGTAAGGGGGGAGGTGAGTCTCATAGTTTTCCATGTAGGTAGCCAACTGGTTGGCTTCAGCATGTCACCAGTCACAAGGCTGAAGCTAAATGCTTTGTCAGTGTCTGCCCCTCCTGAGAGGACTGCTGTGGAAACCACAGTGCCCACAGGCTTTGCTGAAAGCCATTTCAGTATTGGTGGAAAGAAAGGGCTATGTCAAACAAAGTGTAGCCCAGCAGATGCTGATCTCTCTCTTCCATGTGCGGCATCTATCCAAACCTGGGAGTTAAATTTTTCAGAGCGGAGGCTCCTTTTGTCGTGAAAGCCTAACCTTCAATTTGAAAATGTTCTGAAAGCTTTCCTCAAGAAGAAAATATTTGTTCAAATCCTCAGAATGCAATAAGAAAATATCCTTCTAGCAAAAGCAATGACTTAGCATTTTGGGATTGGCACAAAAGTAGGAAAACACAGCAAAGGGAATCGCAGCCTGTCTGGCTATTGGCTGAGTCTTGCTTCTGAGGATTAAATTGTCTTATGAACTTGGCTTACCTTCTCTCTTGATGGTTCTTGGATAGTATTCCCAAGACTTCATATTTTTATGTGTCCTAAATTTGCAGAATCTTAAAGAGACACACAATATCATATGACAGACAGTAACTTCCACAATTCCCTCATTTTTGGTATGGGGAAACTGAGGTCTGGAGAGGTTCTAGGACTTATCTATAATGCCCCACAGTTAGTTAATGCCAGAGCTGGGGATAAAATTTAGTCTCCTCCCTCTTTCAACTGTTCCTTATTACCTCCAGCTCTCAGAAGTTAATTTTCTCCCATTGTGCTTTTTATTCCCAGGTTATATGATGAAGTTTACATTAATGTTAGTAATGTCCTTGGAGCTAAGTCTTCGAAAAGTACTCTCAAGTGTGTACCCTTTAGGGAAATATAATCATGAATGAGAAACTAGGTGGTCTGGAAGAGGAATGATCAATGATGACACTTATTCCAAGTTCTCAGCCTCACAGAGCAATAGGAGCCAGCTCGCTTAATTTCTCTGTTTCCATATTTGCAAAATAAGGATTATCTGTGATTATCTGTTTCCATTTAGTGGTTGCTCTGTGAAATATTTGAAATCAGTGTAGTGGTGAGTGGATGATAATGGTGAGAAGCGTTTGGGAGCTAGGGAAAATAGAAGTGTCTGCCCCCTCTCTGTTTTGCTATTCAGTAGCTGTAACTGTACAGATTCTTCCTCAGATTGAAACTCCACTTCCCTTGTTTCCCGGTGGTTAGTCCCACTCCTGCTCATGCGACATAAGAACATATATAATAATCCATTTTAATATATTTACTAACCAGGTCCTTTTGTTGTGCAATATTTTGTATACTTAATTCAGTCCTTCAACAAATGCTTGCCTACTAGAACACTGTGTTAAGTGCTGAGGTTGCAAATGGTTTCTTGTTTAACTTTCATTCAACAAATACTGTATTTCATCTGCATCTACTACATAACATTTCCTGTGGTGGGTGCTGAGAATGCAAAGTTAAGATAGAAACTTGACCTTGAGAAACATATGTCCAGTGAGAGATACAGGAGGAATAAATAATACTTAAACCGCATTTATGTTTATCATTACATTATCATGGCTTTTTCCTAGTAAAAGTTATGTAAATGTTATTTGATGTTTCTGCTGAACATATGAGCATGATAAGCTGCCACATTTCCAAAATAAAGATAAGGAAGTTGTCATTAGTAGCCTGGGTGGTTTTGTGGTAATTCTCTTTCTGTAATATCTATAATACTGTAGGACATTCATGGGCCTCATTTCACTTTTGCAGATGCAGGTGAAGAACCACTGCTTTTTATTAAGCTGCTGCCAGGACTCAAGCCCAACCTCTAACCCTAAAGTCCTTCTAGCCTCTGCAACTCTATGATGTAATCTGCTAGCCTGGACTTCTGAATAACCCCTGGGTACACTCCCAGTACCTGGATTGTTAGTTTATCCACTTTAGAGGATACATCTGAAACATCCCACTAGCTTGAATGGACATAGTAGCCATCACCGTGTTTTACAGACACCATGCTTCACCTGCCAGGCAGGATCCCTTTTAACTTGTCCCATGCCCTTTGCAGTTAATGAGGTTGCATAGAATGGATTCTAGGATGTGATACAGACTCCAGAGACATGTGGACATTGGGAACAATATCATGAATGTACTTCAGGGACATCAGCTGACAGTTCACTTTAAGATTCAAGTGTTTTTCTTCCCCATGGAAACATTTAGCTGAGCAATAATAGGAAAGGAGGAATATGAAAGAAGATATGGACAACTACATCTGGTGTTGTGCATTTTATAATTGTGCATTAAGAAACTTCTAATCCTACAGACTTGATTCTAATAGAAACCAGATACTTCGGAGGTTTTATCTCCCAGGATGTCTTCCAGGATCATAAGAAAATCCCCTACATAACCAGAGAAAGTGAGGTATTAGAGTCTGAGCAATGGACTGGTGTCAGCAATAATGAAATGGCTTTAAGGCTTAGGAGGCCAGATTTGTCAAAACCAAGTGGGGATATGCATGAAGACACAGTGGCATGAAAATAGGAGAGAGAGCAAGAACATTCAGCATGAATGTGTAGCAATGTCTCCAAAGCCAGATTATGCAGTAAAAGAGCCAGAGATCACATGGTCTGCACTGTTTTGTTTTGGTAAAGAACCTCGCCCACACTGTTTTGCATATTCTCTGCACAGAAATATTACAGAACAGTTACATCGTTACTGTTTTCCGTGCTATGTGAATGGGGCCCTAGAATGAAAGCAATTGTTCTTATAGAACAAGGTTTTATCGCATGGTTAAACATGAAACCATGGCTCTTAGTCTTAGTTTTGGCCCTCCCAGAAGTAGAGCCTGATATAAATATTTGGGTACAAATGGATTATTTTGTTCATGCAGACAACGGTAGACAAACAAAAGAAGAAAAACAGAGGAAGGAAGATAGTCACTAAACGGTGTACTATTAAGTCAGTTACCTCAACATGGAGCTGCAGCTTAATCCCCTAGTATTTCTAGCCTGGCACATTGGACAATGTGATCTTCTGTGGTTCCAGAAAAAGAAAGAGATACAGAACTGGCAGCCAGGAGTCTGCTGAAGTAAAAGATACAAGTTCTGTGGGAGCGGCCCTCCAGCATGTGCTGAAATTCCTGTCCAGACGTCTAGAGAACTGCAGTTTAGTGCCCACAGTGGAAGGGAGGGTCTTCTCTTGCATGAGAATCATCAGTTCCAATGGTGAAACCCACAACATCCAGAAGAGCCCCAGATTCTCTTCTGAGACAGTCCTCTTCTATTGTAAAGTTGGAAAGAACGTGATAGTGTTCTCAGTAAGCCCTCCTAGCCCTTCCCTTAAGACACAACCAACAACATCAGCAGCAAACAACAACAAGAATTATAAACATGTATTAGAGAAGCTAATACATTAGGACTATCAAGATCTCTGCTAAAGGCTTAGGGAATTTCTCCCCAGGGGCAGGGCTGACTTGGTCTTAGTGAAGTGTGGTGTAAAGAGAATGGGCTTTCAAATTAGATGAGCCTGAATTGGAATTCCAGCTCTGGTAGTAATTATATATGTGATTCTGGCTCTCTGAGCCTCTATTTCCTCACTTATCAAGTGCAGACCAGTGTGGTCAGCTATATTGTGCGGTTCTTGGTAGAATTTTGAGAGTCTGCATCTGTGAAGTGCCTATTTATGGAACCCCACAAATGTAAATCAAACAACACACTTCAGAGCCCCTTGCAACTTTCCCAAGCGCTGAGCTGCACCCTGTTTCGGTCTTCTTATACAAACCACCTTCTGCAAACCTTGCTCATTTGGGCTGGTCTGACTTGGGGTCCAGTCTAGACCACTCTGCTGTCATGCAGGGAGCTTCTCTGATAGCCTCTGACAGAGCTCTCACAGTATCCTCAAATGCAATATCCTGTAAGGAAAAAGGAGAGCAGCTTTGGACCCAGACATATCTGGCTTTGTTACTTCCTATTTTGCTATGCAGTAAAAGTTTATTCAGTAGCTGTTGTATCCAAATCACTATATTAGGTGCTGTATGAACTCAGGAAAATCCAGGAATTCTGCCAGAGGCAGGGCATTTAGGGATGGAAAAGGAGCAAACACAAGGCTTGTCTCTTTTTGGAACATGGGAAAGTCTCTCATTCCCCAATCCCTAGGCCAAACCCAGCTACCATAAAGGGGGTCAGAAAAGGCATGATCTCCCAAAAGGGATTTTAGAGAGTTGAATAAAAAAGGATGCCCAGAGTCATCACTAAATCACAGCCCATCAAGAAATAAAACAGCAGGAATACTAACTGTAAACCCCATTATGTGAAGGGCGAAAGCAGTTGAAATATTGACATGTCTCTGCAGCATGGGACTATGAACATCTAGAATGATGCTGGCATCTGTTCAGCTTCCAGAGAGGTCTCAGGAAATTTGCAATCATGGCAGAAGGCAAAGGGGGAGCAGGTATGTCACATGGTCAGAGCAGGAGCAAGAGAGCAAATGGGGAAGTGCTACATACTTTTAAGTGACCAGATCTTGCAAGAACTCATTATCATGAGGACAGTACCAAGGGGATAGTACTAAACCATTCATGAGAAATTTACCCCCATGATCCAGTCACTCCCACCACACCCACCTTCAACATTGGGGATTACATTTCAATATGAAATTTGAGTGGGACAACATCCAAACTATATCATCAGTCATGGTCTCTTGCTTCTGGAGTATCCCTGCTTACTGAGTATCTGCCTTCAGGGTGCCGGTCAAATAGCTGGAGTTCAGCCACTCTCTGATGAAGGGAAATCCACATGGTTTTGATGATGATGGCCTTTTGACATTCAGCTCCCCCATCTCTCTCCTATCTTTCTCCAAACCCTGACAATATTGGGCACTCTGCTGACTCACTGTCTAAGCAACCCCGAGAGAAGTAATCCCTAGCTTAGTGACAGGGACACAAACTGAGCATCTTTACACTTTTTGAGCACTTTTCCTGGGTCTCTTTTCCCTGTATTGTAGGAAAAAGCAACACTTTCATGAGGTGAAAGGAGAAGTTAGCACCTCCCTAAAAAATGACACCCCTTCTTTCTCCCAGTCCTCTTCTACTATGAAATTGGAAAGAAGGTGATAGTGGACCCAGTAAGCCCACCTAGGAGGGTGTTGGGTCCCAAATGTGGCATGTTTCTGCCTTAAAATGTGGATATGGGACACTTAAAAGTTCTTTGTTCTCATCTTTATGTCTTGGTAGTAATTTTGCGAAAATTAAGAAAAGTCCCACTTAGCACCTAACCTTCTGTTGTTATATCAAATTTTGATGTGCCCCCACATGTATTATTTCACTTGAGTGTCAAAATAACTGTAAAATTTTAGGGTGAATTTTAGCCCCATTTTATAGGGGGAGAAACTAAGGTCTAAAAAGTTAAGTGACTTGCACAAAACATTAATAATAGAATGTGGATTTGAAAATAGAAACCAAGTCTCTTGACTGTCTCTGCCTCCTGCTTTTTCAGACATCAGACTAGACTGTGGGCCAAGACCATATATTACCTATTTATTTATCCTTATACACCTGACAAAAATGGCATATATTCCTCATCTAATAACTAAATGGAAGAGAAAAGAAATCAACTTATTTACAGATTTTCAATTAAATCCCAGAACCTCAGAATCAAAAGGGACATTAAAAACCATCTAATCCAATTCTCCATCTGGTAGTTGAACCCTATTCACAAGCCTATTTTTCTTCCCAATATAGCTCTTTAGTCTTTTAAATCCTATAATCATAAATTCTGTGCATGCTCTTCTCTCAGCCAAGTACCTTCAGTAAATTAATATAATGATTCCACAAGGGACAAGGTCCTGAATCTTTTGTTGTCCAAAATCAGCAACAGGCCTTGCCAGTCTCTTTCACACTTGTTTGCTAATTCCCTTACTTACACTCTCTTATTTAATCCTCACAAAGAACCTATGGGGAAGGTGTTATGATTATTATCTCTATTTTCATATGACAAAACTGAGGCTTAGATTAAACAACCCTTCCAGAGTTACATAGCTAGAAAACAATAGTGTCGTATTTTGAACTCATGACCATCTGATTCCAGAGCCTGAGGTTTCACACACGACAGCTCTCAGACATGATCCCTAGTTTGTGGTCTGACCAGGACAGTGTACATTGGCCAACCCCCTCATTCTAGAATACTATACTGAAGTCTGCCTACACCATCTAGGAAAACATTCTTGTCTGTAATGAAAAACAGATTATTGCTTCTCTGTACTGTCCTGAAAATATAGCTTTGTGGCATTTTCCATTTTCATGTGTTTTCTCTCCCAGGCACTCTCATTTCATGAATCTGTCGGTTTTAAGAAACCAATACACATATCTCTCACGTTACAGTCTGACAAGGAGAGTGAAGTGTGCGTACATCAGGGCAATTGGCCTGTCACTGCCGTCAATAAAGGAAAGCTGCTTGCTGAGAAGATAACTCATGTCATCCTGACTGAAGCTGAAATGGGAGATTTCTCTGTGCCTTTTATATTCCCCACAATCCTGTGCCCACGAGATAATTCTCCAGAGGATTGCTGATATTGGGAGATACTCTGAGACGTGTAGACATTCTGACTGCAGTATCATTGACTCACTAAATCATCCAGACTGATTTCCTCACCACATAGAAGAAGACACAGAGGGAGATGGTCACCCACCCAATGTCACATAGCAACTTATTGATAAGTATACCTCTTCTCATGTCCAGGCTTGAATGCTTATTATTCAATACTTCCTCAAGTAACAATCTGACAATTATGACTGACAAGGTAGAGGATAGGTGAGAAGTCTGATTTATTGAACATTTTATGATAGTCATCGTACATTTAATATTTAATTTTCATTGAGCATCAACACTACTTTAAAAGCTAATATTATCTTCCTTTTACAGATGAGGAATTTAAGACTCAAGAATTTCTAATTTTTCTGTATGCACATGACAAGGAAGTGGCAGAACATACATTTAAAAGCAGATCTCTCCCATTCTTTCTGCCTAACTTTCCCCATCCCTCGTCTCTCTCCCATTCTATCTCTCTTTCTCTCTCCCCACCCTCTCTCTCTCCCTCTCTCTCTCTCTCTTTCCAGTGTGTCCCTTTCCAAGTAAATAGAACCACCATCTATACAACTACTGAAACTGGCAGTCTTCCCTTTCTTTCAAACCTCTCATTTAATTAAGTTCCAAGTTCAAGTTCTTTACATTCTAGCTCTTGGCCGGGTGCAGTGGCTCACGCCTGTAATCCCAGTACTTTGGGAGGCTGAGGCTGGCGGATCACAAGGTCAGGAAATCGAGACCATACTGCCTAACATGGTGAAACCCCATCTCTACTAAAAATACAAAAAATTAGCTGGGCGTGATGGCGGGCGCCTGTAGTCCCAGCTACTCGGGAAGCTGAGGCAGGAGAATAGTGTGAACCCAGGAGGCAGAGCTTACAGTGAGCTGAGATGGCGCCACTGAACTCCAGCCTGGGTGAAAGAGCAAGACTCTGTCTCAAACAAACAAACAAACAAACAAACAGACAGACAGACATTCTACCTCTTAAAAATTTACCTAGTTCTTTTCCTCCCCGACTTGCACTACCCTCAATCATGACATAATTTACCACCTGGACCACCTTAGAAGCTTTCTACTTTACCTTCTTTTCTTCACTCTCCTCACTGGTACTAGAGTGACCATTTTACCTAACAGTATCACTTATTTACCTAGAACTCATGGGTGGCTTCCCATTGCATTTGGGATGAAGCCCGAAATCAGCATTCATGAATATCTTTTATTTTCTTTTACTATAACTAAATATCACAGACTGCATAATTTATAAAGAATAGAGGTTTATTTAGCCCATGTTTCTGGAGGCTGGGAAGTCCAGGAGCATGGCACTGGCATGTGGTGAGGGCCTTTTGCTGTGTTATAACATGGTGGAAAGCATTTGCATGGTGAGAGGACAAAAGTATGTCAGCTCAGGTCTCTCTTTCTCTTCTTAAAAGGCTGCCAGTCTCATCATAAGGTCCCCAACCTGATGATGATGTCTAATCCTAATTACTTCCCAAAGACCCTACCTCAAAATGTCATCAACATACAAATTTGAGGATTAGGTTTCCAACATACAAAATTTGGGGGACATATTTAAACCATAGTATCAGGTGAAATTCACCCCCGATATTTCCCATAGGTTCTTTTCTATTTTCCCTAAGTGTTGGCCGGTCTGAGAAATAAAGGGACAGAGTACAAAAGAGAGAAATTTTAAAGCTAGGTGTCCGGGGGGAAGACATCACATGTCGGCAGGTTCTGTGATGCCCCCCAAGCTGCAAAACCAGCAAGTTTTTATTAGTGATTTTCAAAAGGGGAGGGAGTGTATGAATAGGGTGTGGGTCACAGAGATCACAAGCTTCACAAGGTAATAAGATATCACAAGGCAAATTGAGGCAGGCGAGATCACAGGACCACAGGACCGGGGTGAAATTAAAATTGCTAATGAAGTTTCGGGCACGCATTGTTACTGATAACATCTTATCAGGAGAGAGGGTTTGAGAGCAGAAAACCAGTCTGACCAAAATTTATTAGGCGGGAATTTCCTTGTCCTAAGAAGCCTGGGAGCACTACGGGAGACTGGGGCTTATTTCATCCCTCCGCTACAACTGTAAAAGACAGCCGTCCCCACAGTGGCCATTTCAGAGTCCTCCCCTCAGGGATGCATTCTCTTTCTCAGGGATATTCCTTGCTGAGAAAAAGAATTCAGCGATATTTCTCCTATTTGCTTTTGAAAGAAGAGAAATATGGCTCTGTTCCGCCCAGCTCACCAGCAGTCAGAGTTTAAAGTTATCTCTCTTGTTCCCTGAACATTGCTGTTATCCTGTTCTTTATTCAAGGTGCCCAGATTTCATATTGTTCAAACACACATGCTCTACAAACAATTTGTGCAGTTAACACAATCATCACAAGGTCCTGAGGCGACATACATCCTCCTCAGCTTACAAAGATGGTGGGATTAAGAGATTAAAGTAAAGACACGCATAGGAAATCACAAGGGTATTGACTGGGGAAGTGATAAGTGTCCATGAAATCTTCACAACTTATGTTCAGAGATTGCAGTCAAGACAGGCGTAAGAAATTATAAAAGTATTAATTTGGGGAACTAATAAATGTCCATGAAATCTTCACAATTTATGTTCTTCTGCCATGGCTTCAGCCAGTCCCTCTGTTCAGGGTCCCTGACTTCCTGCAACAGCATAGCAATAAGACCTTCTGAGAACTGGTATCTGTCCTTCCCTTTCAGGCTCCACTTTCTCCTTTGTTCTCTAGGCTTTCCCCCAGCCTTTCCTGTGCTTAGAGACATCTTTGTCTGACTAATACTCAGACTTCAGGTCTCAGCCTGAACTTCACTTGTGGAAACTCTTCACAAGTGGAAACACTTCAGGAACTTCCTAAATCAGTTGAGCTCTCCCTTTTATACAGTTCCCTGACACACTTTACTTAATTTTTGTCTCACTCAACAACCTTGTAACATATCTTCCATAGCCATCTTTCCTGGTAGACTATATGTTCCATGAGGAGTGGGGTTTGACTGTCACATGTACTCTGGTATCCCCAGCACCAAGTCCAATGCCTGGCATATGTTGGGCATGCAGTTAATACATGGTGAATGAATGAATGAATGAATTAAAGGATGAGCTTTCTGAGAAGATGAGAACTATGTAGAAGCCTAGAACTTCTGCTACAAACAGCCTTTAATCTACCTCCTTATAGGCTGCTACACTTGGGAAACATAGAATCTGGGTATTAAGTGTGGTTTGTTTTGTGCTATTTAATACTTCTTTGTCTTCCCAAAATGAATAGTAGCTTTGTAAACAATAGATGATGGAGAGTGTGTTTTTGAATTCATTAACATTGCTAAACATGATGAATCTTATCATTGCATACAACATGTTGGCCACATTTTTTTCCTTTTTGTTGCCAAATATTAAAATGTGTGCTGGTTTAACTTCCCCCTAACGGTCCTCTTTCAGTGATAAATAACCATCAGGCCAGCATATGTGTCTGAGTGTTGGCAGTAATATTTATGTATAAACACAATATGCCTAGATGTAGCAACTTAGAACAGCACAGTGCTTGAAGGGACTCTGGGAATCATTAAACACAACCCTCTTACTTCACAGATGTGAACACTAGACTTCCAGGTCAAGAGGGTAGACTAAGAACATGCTAGAATTACTCCCTCCACAGTTCAAACTCATAGAAATCCTGGATGAAACATTTTTTAAAAATACATAACCCAACTACAAAGCAAGGAAGGGAAGTTTCCAATGCCAGAAATTTAGAAAGAACCATTGTGGTAAATGGAAGCTGAAGACGAACTATTCCTGAGGGGATTAGGCCCAGTGAAAGCTTTAGGAACTAAAGTTTCAATGCTGATTTTGGGGACGAATTGGGTCCCAAGATTCAGCTCACTATAGGGAGCTGAAGTTAGGACTGCTGCATAGACTTAGAAATTGAAATAGGCTTTCCATCCTCAAAAGAGGATCTGAAAATCTCTAACAATTAGCACCAGGCCATAGCCAAAAGTAAGCCTATCCATCTTGGCTAAGGATGGAAATATAGCATGAAATTGAAAGTTTAAAATTATGCCTTAGCAGACACAATTGACTTGGCTTATCAGTGTGCCAAATCGAAAGTTTATAAACTAAAATAGAAATCAATTTAGAGAGAATGTACTCTACAGTGTCTGGTCAAAGGCAACCATTAAAGCACCTTGTAGGCTTGGGACAGGAAACCAGATGCTACTTTAGGAAATGTAGGATTCTCCATAGCCTTTGGAAGAACTTGGAGATCAACATTAGGAAGACAATTACTGGCTTTCAGGAGATCTGGAGTGCAGAAATGGCATGTACATTGCTACCAGTGAGTCCTGTTGCCCGAAGGGCTGAAGTGAGTCACACTCTAAAGCAGGGGACAGCAAGCTATGGCCGGTGGGCCCACAGTCTGCTATTGTATTGCTGGCTACTCATGAATTGAAAAAAAAAAAGCTCTTTATAAAGGGAAATAGAAAAGAAAAAGGATAATATGTAATAGAGACATTACATAGCCTGCAAGGCTAGGCTATTTATTATCTAGTTCTTTACAGAAAATGTTTGCTTGACCCTTGCTCAGGAGGATCTTTAGAAGGCACTGGGACAACCATCCCTTTTCTGCAGATGCTCTTGCATCTTCCTGCAGCAATATGGCTGAAGAGTTATGACTTCTTTCTTTCTTCTACTTTCCAAATCCTATGTGAGTCCTTCTCATTGTCAAAATCCCCCTAAAGGATTCTGGGAAATGTAACTTTTACACTTCACTCTTAGATGCAGTAGAGAATGTAGAAAGGGCAGGGATGATACTGAGGTGACAATCCAGATAAAAAGTCCAGGACCCAGTGTGAACATGGAAGAAAAATCCTATAGGTGATAATTTATGCAGAAGGAGAGCTCATAGAGCAAAATTCCAAAACGTAAATAGAAGTCAATGCATATCAAAGGGATCACAAATTCTCCAAAATGGGAAAAATTATATATGTAGAAGTAGAGTTAATATAGTGATCAGAAAAGGAATATGATGCAGAAGTGCTTAAAATATTCAAATGATTAAAGAATGGCAACAATAAAAAAAAAGAGAGTTTGCTTTTAAGTACATATTTTTTTAAAAACCAAGTAACCACCAAGATACCACTTTACACCCACTTTACTGTCTATTGAGCTTTGCTGGAAAAAAAAAGTGAATGTATTAGGAGTAAATGTAAGAAGTAAGTGTGAGAAAAATAAAAATTGGCAAACTGATTGGTAAATCTAAATAATTATTGAATATAAATAATATAAAGACAACAAAAATAATAATATTTATGTGAGTGTATTAAATAAGCTGGAACTATAAAATTAGACAATAACAGCATGACGGTTGGGGTAGAATGTTAGAAGAGAGATATTAAAACATGCTCAGGTCCACATCTCTTTTGAGAACAGGATGTAGATGCTGATTAATTTTAATATGCTAAACTCTTAAGGATAACTATTAAAAGAATAGGTTTGTAGAATTTCAAAATATAGTATCAAAAATATGAGGATCAAGGCCAACTTATCATTCCAATAGAAGGCAAGAAAGGAGAAATTTCAAAGGACCCAGGGGCTCAAAGAGGAGTCCTAGTGAAGTGAAAGTCATGCAGCCAGTTCATGAGTGATCCAGGACTAATCCCAGTGGACATGACTCCCAGTTTATTGCTGTGATATTTATACAAAGTCGTCTCTCTCCATATATCTCTGTTGATTTTTACAGAGAAACCATGTGAATTCCATTGCCAAAGTTTTGTGCTCCCATAAAAAAAGGAGATGCAATTTAATGGTATAGGAAGAGAAAAAAAAATGTTCTTTGTATTTAAATATACATGGCTTAAAATTCTGGCTATGCCATCTACTAGCTGTGCCATTGAATAAAGTATTTAATTGCTTAACTTCAACTTAGTCATTTGTTGAATTAAGTAGTAATAGCTATCTTACAATGATGATGTAAACATCAAATCATTCAATACATATTAAATATACATAAAGCACCTGGTTTAATTCCTAATGCTTAGTACAAATTCAGTAAATGTACATGGAGTTAATGGGAGAGGAATTTTCAAAATAGGAAGAAGTATATCCATGATAGAGAGGCAATGTTGAACATCAGCTCCAAACAATGAGGCAGACCTATTAACAATAAATAAATGATGATGAGGTGAGAAGTGAAGACCAGGAACAGGCTGGGAAGTACAAAATTAATAGTACAAAACGAATTAAGGCAAGGCCTCAGAATTGGATCTGAGTGCGATCCGAGAGCTCCAGGGGCTCACCTATACAGTACCAGTTATAAAGCATGGAGACAGGCCTGATGGCTTAGCAGAGATTGGCCCACAGGCCATTGCCTGTTTTTCTAAATATTATTTTCATGGAACCCAGACACACTCATTTGTTTACATATTGTCTGTGGCTACTCTTGCACTACAATGGCAGGGTTTAGTCATTGCAGCAGAAATCATGTTTTCAGCAAAGCCTAAAATATTTACTATTTGTCCCTTTTAGAAAAAGTTGGCTCACCCCTGGCTTAAAGGAATATGCATTTCCAGACAATCCCTACCATCCTGTGAATGGTGAAGCCAACCCTATGCCTTTAAACCAGACCAGCCTATCATGTTAAGTTGAGTCAGTTAAAATGAGCCCCAACTACTTCCAGCCTACTTATCACAAGTGCCTTCTACTCCCTTGCTTTGGTCCCATCTAGTGACGACTGACCTTTATACCCCTAGCTTTATCTCAAATTTCTGATCTGTGCTTACCTCTTGAAACTGATAGTTGAACCTAATTCCCTAGTTTAATCTTTGAAATACCTTCAAGATCCAAGCTGTGTTCCCTGCCTCTCCTGCTCTGTCTGCTTTGTGTCAATGTTCTGTTTCACCCAAATCTAGTGCTCCAAGAGGCAGGAAGAGATGAGAATCCCTCTGAGAGCAAGAATCATGCCTTACTGCTGCTTTTTTCATGGTTTCTGACACATAATAGAACCCATTAAAAAGTGTGTTGGGTAAATAAACATTCTATGAAGAGAGGAAAATCCAGACATTCATGGAAAACAAGCTGGCCAAAGGAAAGTGGGTAAGAAGGAAGGAAGGTATATACCCTGGTTTCATAAGAGGGAGGTGGTGTTAGGAAACTGGTAGAAGGTGAAATAGGAGTGGTAGGAAGGAGCCAGATCAAAGAGGGCTATGTGCACATGGTAAGATGTTTGGCTTTGATTTTGAAGGCAACGGAATGATTTGCAGTTAGGGATAGGACAGACCTCTTAACTGTATCATACTGTTTCAATATCTCATGATTTAAAGGTGAGGAATAGAAGGTGGCAGGGACAGAGAAAAGGAAATGGAGAAGTTTGAGGGTCATCCACTTCCCACCCTGCTGGGCTTTGCAGTGCAGGAACTGAGCCCTATAAACTCTATTTCCCAGGCCCCTTTGCCCACTGGCCTCTGGTTCAATTTGGCAATGGGAGCCACTGGCAAGAGGTTGGAGGATGGAAGGAGGGAAGATGCCAGGGTATTTCTTCCCTTCTTTAGTCCATAAAGTGTCTTAAATGGTGTCTGTCACTCTATTGCCATAGTGCTCTTCTTTCCTGGGTTCTGCTAACATCATTTCCCTTGGTCCCCACAGCCCTAGGCATGAAAGTTTCTAATCACTAGGTCTCCTCACTGTCCCTGTTTCCCCTTTCAGCTCTTCCATCAAGTTTGTCACCATTTCAATGCTAAGTTCTCTCCATTAAACTTCCTAGGTAAGTTCTGTGTTTCTGAATGGAATCAGATTGAAGCATTGAGGAAAGAAGACAATTTATTTATCTACATTTTTTAAAACCTCGGCATCCCTAGTACTTAGCATTGGCCTGACACGGAGTAAACACTCAGTAAATACTCATTTAATTAAACTTTGAAGAAAATTAAGCTCTTTCCTTTTCTATTCCAACTCCTAATAACAATGAATCCACACAGCAAGGATGAAACTGATAACAAAGATAAGAAAGTAATAAGAAAATGTTTTTATGATCCCTGAAAGTGGAAGCATCACAGTCAGACAGGCTCATGTCTCAGGGTCTGCCACGTAAGCTGTGGCCATGAGAAACAACCTTCCCATAAGACTTGGTCTAGACAAGGTGGCTAGGATACAGAAGCCACTTTAATTTTCTGAGGAAGATCAAATTTAGATAAATTGCTAGAGCTATAAAAGCCTTGCGGTTCAAGTCAGAAGATGTGACAGCAATTAACAGCTGCATGAGGCTCGGCAGGAGGTCAGGAAGATCTAAGACCAGCAGATACGGGCTCATGCTCTCCAGTGTGGTATCCAGTTCCTAACCTCCAACGAATCCCTGGAATATATATAGAGATATATTCAGACTTTCTAGGGCCCCATGTTTTGATCAGACTTTCCCCAAGAGGCAGCAGGATTATACACTGCAGTAAGGACAGACCTTGAAATCTGAAAACAGAATGCTGATTTTCACTTTGCTACTTAATGACCTTATGAGCTAAATATTAAACTCTAAATGTAAGCTGCATTTTAAAAGTCTATAATATAGAGATAAAAGTGTCTACATCACAAGGGAATTGACCTCTAAATGAAATGATCTAATATATTGATAAAAAATAGAGTAATATGGTTAAAGGGGCATGCTACGAAGCCAGTTTTCAATTGGAGCCTCTGTTATGACCCTTATTCATCTCTCTAAACAATAGTTTCTTCACCCCAAAAATGAGGATAATAACTATTCGATAGTGTTGGTGTAAAGACTAAGGTAAATTGTTGTAAAGTTTTCAGCAAGGCACCTGGTACCTTGTAAGCTCTCAACACCATCAAAATCAATTTGCCGTTTTGTACATTTGATACATGCTTATGGGCATTCTTTAATCCTCACAACACCCCTAAAGTGAGAATAGCTATTCATTCTAGTTAAAAGATTTTTATACTGAAGTTCAACTTGCCTAGGATAACCTAGGTCATCCTTGCCTAGGATTACATAGTTATTACACACCCAGAAATGATTCTGACTACAAAACCCTTACTCAAAAATAATATTACCTATGAATTATTAGTTATTAATATAGCGATTGTTGTTACTATTATTGAAATATACATAAGGTGCCTGGTACAGATTAGTTCTTTTTATCTACTAGTTTTCTACTTTTTATGCATAAAGAAACACTGACTGCCCTCTGTGATGTACCCCACGGTGGGTGAGGTTCAAGAGTCATTTTCTTAAGTAAACAGTATATAGGCTTGTTTTTCATGCTGGTAGACAAAGTGGGATTTTATTTTATCCCAGAGATAAGAAATACCTTTTTTTTCATTTGTAGTGCAACATCTGATTCAAAGATGGTGTATATTTTGGAGAGATTTTGACTAAAAGTAAGGTAATGTCATGTGTATTTTTTATAGCAAGCCAAGGAAATGGTTTAGAAGGAGCAGTGAACTTGGAGTTCAGGAACCAGGAGCTTAGATTTAGCCCTACAACCTGTACACACCCCGATACTTTTCTGGGCCTCAGTTTGCTCATCCAGAAACACACTATTGAGTGATGTGTCTTCTGACATTCATTCCTATCCTAAAATATGAACGCTATTTTGCCCACAATGTTAATATCTTTTATGATGATGATGGTAATAGAAGAAATTTACTTAACTGGGCACCTAAAAGGCCTTCATTTGATAGCACTAATGTAGGCTCATATCCTCAAGTACTTGGCTTGCAGCAAAGTGTTAGTCTAAAATTACAGCTCCCTCAAATCACATTATTTCTATGTATTAAGCTGAACTCTAACACTTAAAGTTTGAAGTTTTTATGATTTTGGCCACAGTAGACATCCTGTTTTCCAGGGAGAAAGGGCTTTAAAATGCACTTCTCTGCAAATCTACTCTCAAAATCATATTTTGATGAGTTAAGGCCAAATGAATAAAAACATACGGATTTTATTTTCCTTGAAAGTCACATGGGCTAAAGGTAAGGAAAGAAAAAAAAAAAGATGAGGAGGAGAAAGAAAGAGAGAGAAACTACACAATGGAGGAGAGGGATTCCATTGAACTAAAAGACCTGGCATCATTTTCTGGAACAACTTCCAAATAAGGGTTTTTGTACCAAATTCACTATCACTCTAATAGCTGAAGCTACTCTTGTATCTCCAAAGATTAGACTCCAAATGCAGCATGATGAGAGGAAAGAACAATGGTGTTGGAATCAGACCACAGTTTGAACCATTTGCTGGTAGTGTTACTCTAAGCAAGTCAGTTATCCCAGGAGCTCCATTTCTGCAAATGAGAATAATGATACCTGTAACATATGGCTATTATGAATCTTATTAACAACATATATAAAGGTTCTAATAATGTACTTGGAACATAGTAGGACCAAGTAATCTAGTCTGATTTCTATAATATATCATTTGGCACCTAATCTACCTATCAGTGGAAAGATGGACTTCTGGTGGAACCATCTAAATTTAGCATCTGTAAATGTACTTTATCAGCTCTGCCTTCCTTCCTCTTTTCATTTCTAAGTTCTGTGAAAAGTCAACAATCTGTAAAAATGGTTGTACGTGTGTTTTAGAACTACTGTGACTGCAAAACAATATATATACACAAATATGTTACCTCTGCTGATAGGGAAAACAAGGAAAGAGGAAAATCTTCATTTTCTCCTCAGTTTGTGGTTAGGGCAAGTTCCACGCTTGGTTTTTTTGGGGTGTTCTTGGCCACCTCACCCTTAGGCTTGCCCCTATCTCCATTTAGTTCCCACAGAACTATCTTTCTAGCTGTTTCCAAGGTTATCTTCTATTATCACTTCTCTCAAAGGCCTTTGGGGTTGGTTGGAAAAGGAATTAATTAAAGCCACATCCCCTCCTTCTCTCCTCTCAGGCCTTGGGCCTAGATCTGTCCTTTTCATGTTAATACTTAATCCTTGTACCTTCTCCTCATCCCTACTACCTTGAGAATGGGAGGAAAGAAAGAGAAACCTCATAGTGTTGTTGCTGCTGCTATTGGTTCTGACAGGTTAAGTAGGCTGAAGTTTAAAACTCATTCTTTAAAATATTCTAAACCTTAGACCAAATTGCCTTTCAAAGTCTGATCTTGTTAGAATGTTAGAATTCTATGTCCTAAATATTCACATATACTCTATGACTTGCTTTTCTTGTCTTTAAGATATGTTTAATAAATCATGTTTGCCTAAGTGCTAGGTGTCACACATCTGACACCATTTCTTAGGGAGTTGCTGTATAGAGACTCTGGATCTCTGACTTTTATGGAAGTGCTAAGGATCAAGTGAAAACAACAAATGAGCTATAATGAGAAAACAGTTTTATATATATATATATATATATATATATATATACACACATACATATATATATACAAACCCCTATGCATTTTTCACCCTAGCCAAGAGAGAAGTTATTATAATAGAAGTTATAATAGAAATAATGATGATGATAAAGACAATAAAAATAGTATCACCCACCTATTTCCTGAGCATCTACTCTGTACCAACACCGTATAAGATGCTTTACATGCATCAGCTTCCTCAATC
Source organism: Homo sapiens (assembly GCF_000001405.40). Taxonomy (NCBI): domain Eukaryota; kingdom Metazoa; phylum Chordata; class Mammalia; order Primates; family Hominidae; genus Homo; species Homo sapiens. The sequence goes on from NC_000001.11 coordinate 56,005,772, forward strand.
CTCTCTATAATTCCTAAACTGCATATTTTATCTTAATCTTACAATTGAGGAAAAAGAATCTCAGAGAGGTGAAGCAACCTTCCCAAGGCCACACTGTTCATTCACGGCCAGGACTGGATACCAGGCTTTTCAGACCTTGAAGTGCCTACTCTTTCCACTGATGGAAGGAGGAGGATTCCTTATTGACTATCTATGGATGGGCCAGAATATAACTTTATTGGATCAGAAAGGCAGTGATGGAGGTAGGCAATGGAAGTTCTTGCAGGAGACACCCTGCAAGAGCATTGGAAGCTGCCTGACCATTGGAAGCCAGGAGAAAATTAAGAATCAGCAGTGGGGAGGATTGCCAGCAATTGGAAGACTGAAGGGTGAGTCTGAATATAGGGCAGTTTCAAGATTTATGCAAAATAGCATCTTTATTCAGGGCTGCCAAGTTGGGCCACTACCACATAAAGGTGTCTTTGTAAGCTCAGTTTTGAAACTAAAATGAACCTCAATGGCCGGGATAAATCAATAGCTCAATGACCCCTGGCCTAGGGAATTCCCACCACCCTAAGTGAATCTCCCCTTCTCACCTGTACAGTGTCACAGTCGATGAAAAATTAAAATTTTTTAAATTGTATTAATATTATTTATAATGTAATACTGTTGTGACTATCATATATTGAGTTTCTCTACTAGGTGATGGGCAGGGGACTAGGCACTTTATATAAAATTATTTAATTTAACTCTCATAATAAATAAAATCAATATCATTATCCCTTCAGAGGTTTAGGAAGCTGAAGCACTTAAACCAGTTGCATGGTAAGTGGCAGAATAAGGATCTGAACAGGAAGTCCTGAGGAATACATTATACGAAACTGTGGATATAAGGAACTAGGTATCTTGAATAACTGAAAACAAATAACAATCAAAAAACGCAAGAAAACCTTTACCTTACTTCCTCCCCAAAGGGGAAAACTCCAGTGATGTTAAACAATCAGATTTATATCTAGCTAAGAGTTTTCAGCATAGCAGTAACAGTTCTAAGAATCTTTTTTGATTTTCTGAATCTAAAGCAATTGCACTCTAGTTTATAGCATCTAAAAATCCAACTTTCTTTCATTCTTTTATATCCATAAGTAGAGCCAAGTAGGAGAGACAAGGAATGTAAAATAATAGAACTTTATTGGTCTCACCATAACTCAAGTGGATTTTAAAGCACACTGCCATTGTTTAAATACCAACACCATTGCCCAACTTTGTCTCTCTCTGTATGGACTGGTCATCTTCTGCTCCATTCTTAAAACATACCTCCCATATCACTTTCTTGGGGAAGTCATGTCCTCAGGGACGAATCACCCATTTCATTCTACCCCTCCTATACCTACCCATTGTTGAAGTGATGACAACATCTAGAGCTCATCTGCCATAATATCTGCCATGTTATTTTCATTATGCATCTTCTGCCGACTCTAGGACCACATCTTCTTTTCTCTTTGTTTCTTTTCTTTTTATTCCTTTCCTTTCCTTTCTCTCTCTCTTTCCTTCCTTCCTTCCTTTCTCTCTGTCTTTCTCTCTCTTCCTTTCTCTCTCTCTCTGTCTCTCTCCCTCTCAATGCATGGCTCACCTATCAATGAAAGAAGGAATAAATTAATACATTCTTTATTAGTACTCGAGCCTGGTTTCCCTATTAATCCAGAGTACTGCTTTATGCCAAACAAACCCACATCCATACTTTTAAATTGTAATTTAGCCAAAACAAATAATGTGAAATTATGTGTGTATTCCTTAGGTTAATAGTTACAACCCAAGGGCCTCCACAAGCATTCTAGTCAAGAATATGTACTACAAAGGTGATCAGCCAGCATCATACCAAAGAGATTATACTCCTGAGGCAGCTACTAGAGCAATAGTTTGAATCCATCCCAAAGCTTCATTATTTTTAGCAAAGTAAATGCCATAAGTGTTTTTAATTGGTGAAATTGATGGTTGGCTAGCATGATGTCTGTTAGAAATGGTCTTTCATTGGTGAACTGCATTAAAATTGGCAAAAATATTTGAGTGATTTCCCCACATTTTTACATTTGTACTCTCCTCACTCTGGCCTAACAGGATATAAGATTTCAGGAAGGCCTATAGTCTAAGAATGGTGCTAAAATGTTTAGCTCTAAATGTTCCTAAGCATTGGCTAAGAGAGATGATTCTCGATGGCTGGTGTTGACTTTAAGGGTCACAAACCCCTGCCTCTAGAAAGTTGTTATGTTTACCTCAGGGTAAATAAAAAATCTTTTATTCAAAATGGTGTTTACAGCACCTGAAAAGACAAATATCTGGAGCTTGATCAACTATAGAAAACATATGCGTGAACTCTTTGGTGTCAGCTTGCCAATGATGTATTTGTTTTTTTAAAAATGTTTATAGGTATGGAAAAATTTGGTCTGAGATTAGCTTTCAGGATAAACTGGTAGCAAAGTTAGGGGACAGCAGCTAGTGCTCTGCCACCCCGAACTTTTTAGACCTATTATTTTCTGCCAAGAAGATTCCAAGATGTGCGTTTGACCCAACTGGCTTAAGTTATTTTCTAAAACATGACCTCAGCATCTTGCTATAACTAACCAAGACAATTTGCACATACGAAGTACATTTTCTGTATGGAGAAATAAATGTTTATCCAAAGTGCATGGAAGCAAATTAGTGCCCCCACTGAAAATTGCCAGATTGTTTTAAACACAATCCAGTTCTGTCAGTTGAGGATTTTTACACTTGCTAATGCAAGGTTCCTTTGCCTTTCTGAGCAACAGATTCAAGATAATAATAGTGGACTTCTCTCCAAAATCTGGTCCCATATTACACAAGTTGGCCTTTTCCTCTCTGTTGTTTTACAAAAGTGCTTGCAAAGTGTCACATGCTAAAATTCCCTCCCCTCTAAAAAGACTTCTGTGGTTATATAATCACAACTTTTAGTTGCAAATAATTGAATCCATACTAGCTAATTTGAACAAAAAAAGTTTTAATGAAATGATGTTAGATAACAATGTGAAATGCTAAAATGTAGCCAGTGGAGATATCTAGCCATACCATAGATCTGGCCCATAGGACTCTTCTAGTGCAATGCCTCTCAAACTTTAATATGCACACACATCTGCTGGGACATGGTTAATCCAGATTCCAATTCTGTAGGTCTGACATATGTCCTGAGCTTCTTCATTTCTAACAAGCCCTCAAGTGATGCCAATGCTACTGGTCTGTCAACTAGTTTGGTAGTCAGACTAGCAGATATCCCTACTGCCACCACAGCTGCCTGCCAAGAGTACCTATGATGCTAAGACTGGACTCCAGAACTTCTGCCTCGTCTTCTCCAGAAGAATAGAATAGTTCTCCATTTTCCCTTTCCAGATGATTCAATCACCCTACTTGGCTGTCTCCTCTCATTGCCTCTTTTTTCTTCTAGAATTTATTTAAGAATGTTTGCCTGGCATAACCCACGTCACACTCTGCCCCTTAGCTCAAGGCTGTCTGGCAAAGGCAGTTTTTAGATTTCCAGCCAGCATAGGAAGGCACCCTAGAGAGGGGTTGACATGGATGTTGAGTAAGTCAATGTGCAGTATTTTCTAAAATTATTGATAATATTAACAATAAGAATAATTGTAGGGAGTGGCCAAGATGGCCGACTGGAAGCAGCTGGTATGCCCTGCTCTCATAGAGAGGAATGGAAAGGGCGAGTAAATACAGCACCTTCAACTGAAATATCCAGGTACATGCATTGGAACTAATCAAGGAAACAACCTGGCCCACAGAGAATAGGAAAAAGCACGACAGGACAATGGTCCACCCAAGAGCAACGTGGAACCAGAGAAACCTACCCCGTCCAGAGAACTGATGAGGGAATGTGCAACCCTGGGAACCCGCATTTTTCCCATGGATCTTTGCAACCCCAAGGTCAGAAGATCCCCTCATGAACCCACACCACCAGGGCCTTCCGTCTGACACACAGAGCTAATGGAGTTTTGGAGGAGCAGCTACTCAGGCACATGTGGAGACCAAGGAGCCTTAGATACCCAAGCTTTCTGGGCTTCCCCGCAAAAGCAGCTGCAACTCTGGCAAGCAGGAGGTTAGACTCCTGTACATCCTCCTAGGAAAGGGGCTGAATCGAGGGGGCTGAACAGTGACAGTCAGCAGGCCCCGCTTCCACAGCACCTCACAGGATAAGATGCTCTGGCTTGGAATTCCAGCCAGCCACTGGTAACAGCATTATACCTCCTCGAGATGAAACTCCCAGGGGGAGGGGCAGGCTGCCATCTTTGCTGTTTGGCTGACTTAGCCATTCCAGCCTTGGGGCCCTGGAGAGTCTGAGGCAACCAGAGGCCAAAGAGGACCCCCCGCACAACAAAGCTGTTCTACCAAATCCTGGTCAGACTGCATTTTTAAGCGGTTCTGTGATCCCATTTCTCCTCACTGGGTGTGATCTCCCAAATGGGGTCTCCAGCCACCTCCTACAGGTGCATTTGGGCCTGTGATAAGTCTATGCCTCCCTGGGATGGAGCTTCCAGAGGGATGGTCAGGCAAACATCTTTGATATTTCGCTAGGTACTAGAAAATCCAAAGCGACTAGAAACTTGAGGGGTCCCCCAGCATACCACAGCAGCTCTATGGGAAACTGGCTAGACTATTACCTGGGTGCCTGTTCCCATATCTTCTCACCAGGCAGATCATCTAGGCTTGGGCCTCCAGCCACCCCCTGCTGGGGTTATTAAGCCAATAGCAGCTTTGCAACTCCATTGACAGAGCCCCTAGGGACAACTTAAAGCCCTTCTGCCACTGCCTTTGCTGGGGAACTGCCCTTGCTACCCTTGGACTAATGAAGAAGTAAAGACCCCAAGTGTCTTATCCATACCTCCAACAAGTTGCAGTTGACCCAAGGAGAGGAGGCCAGTCCATCTACCACAGGTCTCACCCCCAACTGCACATCACCAGATAGGGATCCCTTAGCTTAGGCCCACAGCACAGACCCTCCATCCTGGGCTGAATGTACTGAGCAATTGCTGACCTGCATCTCTCTGTGGTGGCACCCCCAGGAAACAAGCAAAAGACCCTTGGCCACTACCACAACTAAGGTCCCTTTTTTGCTGCCTCCAAGTTAGGAGAGGAACATAAACCCTGAGATTGCCCCAGAGCAGTAGTGGGCAGCCTAGGAGTACCAAGCTACAATCTACAGCCAGCACTCAATGGGGAGAGGAGCCCACACCTTCAGAGCATTGAGAGGGAACACAGCTGCAACTGTGAGGAAACATAAGAGAGCCAAATAACCAAGCAAGAGTCTACCAACTGACCAATATGCCTAAATGCCACCTACTGGATCACATCCCAAAGCTTCAACATTAAAAATACCTCACTAACATGCCCCCCACCCCCCATGAAACCAAAGACAAGAAGTCAGCTTCAAATAAAGACCCTGCACAAAGCCTTGGCCCTGTGAAAAGAATCAGAAAAGAAGTCTATTAACTATACTGAATCTACACTGCAGTTAAAGGAACACCTACACACAGAGTTGAGAAATAACCAATGAAAGAACTCTGGTAACCCAAATGGCCAGAGTGTCCTCCAAATGACCACACCAATTCTCCAACAAGAGCTCTTAACCAGGCTGAGTTGGCTGAAATGATAGAAATAGAATTCAGAACATGTATAGAAATGAAAATCATCAAGATTCAGGAGAACAGCAAAACCCAGTCCAATGAAACTAAGAACCCCTGCAAGTTTCTACACAAGAAGATTATCCTCAAGACACATAATCATCAGATTTTCCAAGGTCAAAATAAAAGAAAGAATGTTAAAGGCAGCTAAAAAGAAAGGACAGGTCACCTGCAAAGGGAACCCCATGAAGGTAACGGCAGCCCTCTCAGCTGAAACTCTACAAGCCAGAAGATATTCGGGGCCTGTATTCAATATTCTTACAGAGGCCAGGCGTGGTGCCTCATGCCTGTAATCCCAGCACTTTGGGAGGCTGAGGCGGGAAGATCATGAGGTCAGGAGATCAAGACCATCCTGGCCAACATGGTGAAACCCCATCTCTACCAAAAATACAAAAAATTATCCAGGTGTGATGGTGCACACCTGTAGTCCCAGCTACTCGAGAGGCTGAGGCAGAGGAATCACTTGAACCCAGGAGGCGGAGGTTGCAGTGAGCCGAGATTGGGCCACTGCACTCCAGCCTAGTGACAGAGTGAGACTCCGTCTCAAAAAAACGAAAAACGAAACAAATATTCTTACAGAAAAAACCTTCAAACAAGAATTTCATATCTAGCCAAATTAAACTTTCTAAGCAAAGGAGAAATAAGATTTTTTTCCAGATAAGCAAATGTTGAGGGAGGGAGTTTGTTTACTACCAGACCTGCCTTACAAGAAATCTTGAAAAGATTACTAAAGGCTGGGTGCGGTGGGTCCTGGCTGTAATCCCAGCACTTTGGGAGGCCAAGGCAGGCAGATTGCTTGAGGTCGGGAGGTCAATACCAGCCTGGCCAACATGGTGAAACCCCATCTCTACTAAAAGTGCAAAAATTAGCCAGGCATTTTTGCACATGCCTGTAATCCCAGATACTTTGGAGGCTGAGGCAGGAGAATTGCCTGAACCCAGGAGGCAGAGTTTGCAGTGAGCCAAGATCACACCACTGCACTCCAGCCTGGGCAACAGAGTGAGACTACGTCTCCAGAATAAAATAAAATAAAATAAAATAAAATGAAATAAAGGGCCAGGTGCGGTGGCTCATGCCTGTAATCCCAGCACTTTGGGAGGTCGAGGTGGGTGGATCACAAGGTCAGGAGTTTGAGACCAGCCTGGCCAATATGGTGAAACCTCGTCTCTACTAAAAATACAAAAAAAATAGCCAGGCATGGTGGCACATGCCTGTAATCGCAGCTACTTGGGAGGCTGAGGCAGGAGAATTGCTTGAATCTGGGAGGCAGAGGTTGCAGTGAATCAAGATCGTGCCACTACACTCCAGCCTGGGTGACAGAGTGAGATTCCATCTCAAAAAATAAAAATAAAAATAAATAAATAAATAAAGAAGTACTAAATATAGAAAGGAAAAACCACTACCAGTTAATACAAAAGCACACTTAAATACAAACCGACCAGTGACATTATAAAGCAATCACACAAACAAACCAGCATAATAACCAGCTAACAACACAATGACAGGATCAAATCTATACACATCCATGCTAACCTTTAATGTAAACAGGCTAAATGCCTCAATTAAAAGGCATAGAGTGGCAAGCTGGATAAAAAGGAAGGACCCAAAGGTACACTGTCTTCAAGAGACCTATCTCACATGAAATGACACCCATAGACTCAAAATAAAGGGAAGAAGGAAAATCTACGAAGCAAATGAAAAACAGAAAAAAATCAGGGTTTACAATCCTAATTTCAAACAAAACAGACTTTAAACCAACAAAGATCAAAAAAGACAAAGAAGGACATTACATAATGATAAAGGGTTCAATTGAACAAGAAGACCTAACTATCCTAAGTATACATGCACTCAACACAGGAGCACCCAGATTCATAAAACAAGCTCTTAGAGACCTGCAAAGAGACACAGACTCCCACAGAATAACAGTGGGAGCCTTCAACACTTCAGTGACAGTATTAGACAGATAATTGAGGCAGAAATTTAACAAAGATATTCAGGACTTAAGGTCAACATTGGATCAAATGGATCTGATAGACCTCTACAGAACTCTCTCCTGCTAAGCAACAGAATATACATTCTTCTTATTGCCACATGGCACATACTCTAAAATAGACCATATAGTTTGACATAAAACAATCCTCAGCAAATGCAAAAGAAGCAAAATCATACCAAAAACATGGTTGGACCACAACACAATAAAAATAGAAGTCAAGGCTAAGAAAATCACTCAAAACCATGCAATTACATTGAAATTAAATAACATGCTCCTGAATGACTTTTGGGTAAATAACAAAATTAAGGCTGAAATCAAGAAGTTATTTGAAACTAATGAGAACAAATATACAACATACCAGAATCTCTGCAACACAGCTAAGGCATCATTAAGAGGAAGATTCATAGCACTAAATGCCCACATCAAAAAGCTGGACAGATCTCAAATTAACAACTTAACATCACAACTGAAAGAATTAGAGAAGCCAGAGCAAATCAACCCCAAAGGTAGCAGAAGACAACAAAGCAGAATCAGATATGAACTGAAGGAAATCAAGACACAAAAAACCATTCAAAAGATCAATGAATCCAGGAGTTTATTTTTTGAAAAAACTAATAAGATAGATAGGCTGCTAGCTAGACTAATAAAGAAGAAAAGAGAGAAAATTCCAATAAACACAATTAGAAATAACAAAAGGGATGTTACCACTGACCCCACTGAAATAAAAATAACCATCAGAAACTACTACAAACACCTCTGTGCACACCAACTAGAAAGCCTAGAAGAGACACATAAATTCTGGACATTTACATCCTTCCAAGACTGAACCAGGAAGAAATTAACTTCCTAAACAGACAAATAATGAGCTCTGAAATTGAATCAGTAATAAATAGCCTACCAACCATAAAAAGCCCAGAACCAGAAGAATTCATAGCTGAATTCTACCAGACGTACAAAGAAGAGCTGGTGCCATTTCTACTGAAACTATTCCAAAAAAATTGAGGAGAAGGGTCTTCTCCCCAACTCATTCTATGAGGCTGGCATCATACTGATACCAAAACCTGGAAGAAACACAAGAAAAAAAGTAAACTTTAGGCCAATGTCATTGATGAATCTTGATGCAAAAATCCCCAACAAAATATTTGCAAACTGAATCCAGTGGCATATCAAAAAGCGAATTCACCATGATTAAGTAGTCTTCATCTCCAGGATGCAAGGTTGGTTCAACATATGCAAATCAATAAATGTGATTTATTACATAAGCAGAACTAAAGACAAAAACCACATGACTATCTCAACAGAAGAAAAGGCTTTTAATAAAAGTCAACATCCCTTCATGTTAAAAAAAAAAAACTCTTAAAAAACCAGGTATTGAAGGAACATACCTCAAAATAATAAGAGCCATCTATGATAAACCTGCAGCCAACATCATATTGAATGGGCAAAAGCTGGAAGCATTCCACTTGAAAACTGGCACAAGACAAGGATGCCATCTCTCAATGCTACTGTTCAACATGGTATTGGAAGTCCTAGCCAGAGAAATCAGGCAAGAGAAAAAAAATAAAGGGCATCCAAGTAGGAAGAGAGGAATTCAAAGTATTCCTGTTTGCAGACAACATGAATCTACATCTAGAGGACCCCATAGTCTTGGCCCAAAAGCTCCTTCAGCTGATAAAAAACTTCAGCAATGTGTCAAGATAGAAAATCAATGTACAAAAGTTACTAACATTTCTATACATTAACAATAGCCAAGCTGAAGCCAAATCAGAAAGGCAATCCCATTCACAAATGCCATGAAAAGAATAAATACCTAGGAATACAGCTAACGAAGGGGGTGAAAGATCTCCACCATAAGAATTACAAAACACTGTTCAAATAAATCAAAGAAGACACAAACAAATGGAAGAACATCCCATGCTCATGGATAGGGAGAATCAATATTATTGAAAGGGCCATGCTGCCCAAAGCAATGTACAGATTTAATGCTATTCCTATCAAACTACAAATGACATTCTTCACAAAGCTAGAAAAAAACTATTTTAAAATTCATATGGGACCGAAAAACAGCCTGAATGGCCAAGGTAATCCTAAGCGAAAAGTAAAGGGTGGAGTCATCACATTACCCAACTGCAAACCATACGACTGGGCTACAGTAACCAAAACAGCATGGTACTGGTACAAAAACAGACACGTGGACCAATGGAACAGAATAGAGAGCCCAGAAACAAGGCCACACACCTATAGCCATCTGATTTTTGACTAAAATGACAAAAACAAGCAATGGGGAAAGGATTCCCTATTTAATAAATGGTGTGGGGATAACTGGCTAGCCATACGCAAAAGATTGAAGCTAGACCCCTTCCTTACACCATATACAAAAATCAACTCAAGATGGATTAAAGACTTAAATATAAAACCCAAAACTATAAAAACCCTGTAAGACAACCTAAGCAATACCATCCTGGACATAGGAACAGCACAAAAAAAGCAATCACAACAAAAGCAAAAATTGACAAATGAGATCTAATTAAGCTTAAGAGCATCCTGCACAGCAAAAGAAACTATCAACAGAGTAAACAGACAACCTACAGAATGGGAGAAAATATCTGCGAAGTATGCATCTGTCAAAGGTCTACTATCCAGCATCTATAAGAAACTTAGACAAATTTTCAAGAGAAAAACAACTCCACTGAAAAGTGGCAAAGTACATGAACAGACACACTTTTCAAAAAAAGATATACATGTGGCCAACAGCATATGAAAAAAAGCTCAATATCACGATCATTAGAAAAAGGTAAATCAAAACCACAGTGAGGTACCATCTCACACCCGTCAGGATAGCTGTTACTAAAAAGTCAAAAAACAACAGATGCTTGCAAGGTTGCTGAAAAAAAGGAATGCATATCACTGTTGGTGGGAGTGTAAATTAGTTCAACCATTGTGGAAAGCAGTATGGCGATTTCTCAAAGAGCTAAAAGCAGAACTACCATTCTACCCAGCAATCTAATTACTGGGTATATACCCAAAAGAATATAAATCATTCTACCATAAAGACATATGCATGCAAATGTTCATTGCAGCATTATTTACAATAGCCAGGACATGGAATCAACCTAAATGCCCATGAATGACAGATTGGACAAAGAAAATGTGGTACATAACCACCATGGAATTCTATACAGCCACAAGAAAAGGACAAGATTATGTCTTTGTGGGAACATAGTTGAGCTGGAGGCCATTATTCTTAGCAAACTAACACAGGAACAGAAAAACAAATACCACATGTTCTCACTTAAAAGTGGGAGCTAAATAATGAGAACTCATGAACACAAAGAAAGTAACAACGGAAACTGGGGTCTACTTGAGGATGAAAGGTGAGAGGAGGGAGAGGAGCAGAAAAAATAACTCTTGGGTACTGGGCTTAATACGTGAGTGATAACATATTCTGTGTAATAAACCCCCATGACATGAGCTAACCTACATGACAAACCTTGACTTGTACCCCTGAACCTAAAATTTTTAAAAAATAATAATTGTAATGGTTAAAATCTATTGCAAGCTTACTGTATACCAGAAATTGTGGTAAATTATTTACTTACACTATTATTTAATCTCCACAAAATCTCCATGAAGTAGGAATTATTATTGTCCACTTACAGGTTAGGAAACTAAGAGATAGCTATTAGCTGACTGCCCATGATCACAAAGTTAGTCAATGATAAGGACAGAATTTGAGGTGGTCAGCCACTGAAGCCCACACTCACTACTATGCTCTTCTTCTTCAGATAAGACTGGGAAATCATATTCCCTTCTCAGAAATTCACAATACAGTGCACTTCAAAACCCTGGAAAATTTCTGCAGTAAAGAAACTTTTTTACCTTGCTTAGTGCAGTATTTCCCAAACATATCTGGGGCATGGAACTTTTTTGTCAAGTAATATTTATTAACATTGGGCAGAAAATGTTCCACAAAACCAACTTTGGAAAATGTAGTCTTAAATAATTTCTTGGCTATAGGCAGACCACGGTTCAGGATTCTAAGCCAGACAGACCTTGCACTGTCACTTGATACCCTGCATGAGTATGTCTCAAACTTTGGTGTGAGTCAGAAGCACCTGGATTTCTGATTCAGTAGGTCTGAAGAATTTTTCTTCCTAACAAGTTCCCCAGGGATGCTCATGGTGCTAATCCAAGGACCATGCTTTGAGAACTACTGGCCTGGACATCAGGCAAGTCACTGTCCATCTCGGAGCTTAGGTTTGCTTATTTTTATCTCCTTTGTAGGGTCATCCATTCCTTTATTAGCAAATATTCATGAATGCCCACTATGTGCAACACACGGTGCTTGGTGCAAGCATACAGTGATGAATCAAGTAGAGAAGGCCCTGCCCTTATGGAGCTTACAGCCTGGCTGTGGTAAGTATATGAGATAATGAAGTGTGATATGTGTATCATCACGTATGGTCCATAGAAGGTGTTCACTAAATATTGTTTCCCTTCTTTTCTTCCCGTTGGCTCACCTCCAAATAAATCTTGCCCATTCCTACATCACTACCTGTATCCATAAATATGAGCTCCATTCTTTCCCCCAACCTAATCATATTAATCTTTTAACCCACAACTCAGAAACCACTTCTTTACTGATTTCTTCCTTAATTGCCCCATCCCGTGGTTACCGTTTGTTATATGAAACTTCTGTAACACTTATAATCTACTTTATATATAGGACTTCAAATGCAATTATTATCTTCCATTTATATGTCTACATCTGTATGTAGATATAGATGCAGCTAGATATATAGATATCCCCAGGAAAATCATAAAAATCCAGAGGGCTTCACTTCTTATTAACATTTCCAAGTATTCCTGTGGTACCTGCTATGTGCAAGACAGCATAGTATATATTTTTTGCTTCCTCCACAGTGCATTGTTAATCATAAATCTTCAGAAAATTAGCACTGTATACTTTACTCATTTAATAAAATTTACTGGGTCCCTATCATTTGGTGCAAAGTGACAGAGATTCAGAGACAAATACAGTCCCTTTTACATGGAATGCTCCCTGGAATCAGGGAGAATGTTGATTTTACATCTGAATCCTTAATAGCCACACAGTATCTGGCACAGTGAAGGAACTAAACACATTTTTCAAAAATATATAAATAAAAGAATGGTTTGGAATAGCTCACAGACAAATGACTATACTATACAGGGTCAAGAACAATAATAGAAATCCACCCAGAGCTCTGTTGGATCCTGGAGAAGAGAGTGTCTCTTTCTATAGAGTAGAAGTATTCATAGGAAATAGATAAGATATGTGAACCTGGGGTTGAAATGTGAGAGAAATTCTCCTATTAAAGAATGAAAGAGAAGCCCATAAGAGGAAATGGTCTTGAAGAAAATGAGTTGTTACCAAAACACCGAAACTAAAATAGCAACTGAAAGTTATTGCCAAGAGTGCCCAGTTGAGAATAAAGGCAGGCAAGTACCAGTTTGGAAAGGCATGGATTATATGCAAAGGAATGTGGATTTTCTTCTCAGGTAAAGACTGCACACTTGAAAGTATACATTATATTTGCCAGGCCAGATTTTAAATAATTTTAAAGGACTTGAAAATATTAAAAATTATAATATTTTCCACAATACAATCACATTTATCACATTTTTTTGCTTGTCTTGAAAAATTGGAAGAGCTGGCAATACTGGGCCCACATTTATCATGGCATTCACAGCTGTTGCTAAGTAGAAGTTGACCCCTTCATTTGTGGTAAGCATGCCTCAGTTTTCCACACATGTTCTTTATTTTGGATCCATTAATTAATTAATTCTTCATTCATGAGACATTCTTGAGTATCTACCATCTGTCAAACACTTCTCCGGGTTTGCGGTAAAAAGATACAGTTGTGCATCACTTAATTATGGGGATATATTCTGAGAAATGCATCATTTGTTGATTTTCTCATGTGAATACCATAGAACGTACTTACACAACCCTAGATGGTATAGCCTACCACACACCTAGGCTATATGGTATGGCCTATTGTTCCTAGGCAACAAACCTGTATAGCATGTTATTGTACTGAATACTGTAAGTAATTGTAACACAATGTTATGTATTTCTGTATCTAAACATATAAAAGGTACAATAAAAATACAATATAAAAGAAAAGAACTGGTACACCTGTATAGGTCACTCACCAAGAAAGGAGCTTGCAGGACTGGAAGTTGCTCTGGATGAGTCAGAGAGTGATGAGTGAATATGAAGGCCTAGGTCATTACTGTATACTACTATAGATTTTATAAACACTTTATGTTTAAGCTACACTTCATTAAGAAAATTTTCTTTCTTCAATAAGTAAATTAACCTTAGCTTACTGTAACTTTTTAAACTCTTTTTAGCTTTTTGACTCTGTTGTAATAACACTTAGCTAAAAATACAAACACACTGTTCAACTGTGCAAAAATATTTTCTTTATATACTTTATAAACTTTATTTTTTTAACTTTATACTTTTTTTGTTAAAAAATAAGGCACAAACACACATTAATTTAGGGTCAAGATCATCAATATCACTGTCTTTCACCTTCACATCTTGTCCCACTAGAAGGTCTTCGGGGCAATAACACACATGGAGTTGTCATAGGAGACAGCATTTCAACATCAGGTTCACATGTCTTACCTACTTCCTGTGAAATTTCCTATGATAGCAATGTCTTCTTCTGAATTACCGCCTGAAGGACCTGCCTGAGGCTGTTTCACAGTTGACTTTTTTTAAAGTAGGGAATGTACACTCTAAAATAATGATAAATGTATAGTAAATACATAACCAGTAATACAGTTATTTATGGTCATTACCAAGTATTATGTACTGTACATAATTGCATGTGCTATACTTTTACATGACTAGCAGTGCAGTAGGTTTGCTCACACCAGCACCAACATAAACATGTGATTAACGTGCTGCCCTATGATGTCATGAGGACTACAAAGTCATAAGATGATAGGAATTTTCCAGCTTCATTATAATTTTATGGGACTGTCATTGTATATGCAAGCAAAATCTTATTATGCAGTGCATGACTGTATATATGTGTGTCAAGGATTCACAGTTTAGTGAGGAAGATGAGTGTACAAATAAGTAAGTTTACCAGAGTTACCAGAGCTTTGCTGGAACTCTCCACTAGTATGGCGTGGAGGATTTCAGATAAACCTGGCAATGTTCTTGAAAGGCTTCATAGATTAGGTGAGACACAAGTGTGTTGTTAAAAATTGAACAAATGAACCCCTCCCAAAAGGACAAACGGGAACATGGGCTTTCCAAAGAGAGAGCACAGGTGAATAGGCCTGATAAAGAGAAGGAAGTGAAGACATTCTTCATGGTTTGATGTGGGGTGAATAATGGCAAAGGTGGGAGAGAGGAGGGGATGAGGAGAGGTAAGGCCAAGTTGGTAGGCAAGGGTTAAATCATAAAACATGTTAGATCCTTTGCTAAGGAATTATACTTTCTTACCAAGAGTACCACAATGTATTAGTTCATTTTGTGCTGCTATACCCAAAACTGGGAAGAAAAAGAGGTTCAATTGGACTTACAGTTCTACATGGCTGGGGAGGCCTCACAATCATGGTGGAAGGTGAAAGGCATGTTTCACAGGGTGGCAGACAAGAGACAATGAGAAAAAAGCAAAAGTGGAAACCCCTGATAAACCCATCAGATTTCATGAGATTTATTCATGTGTGTCAAGGATTTACAGTTTACTGAGGAAGATGAGTGTATAAATAAGTAAGTTTACCAGAGTTACCAGAGCTTTGCTGGAACTCTCCCCCAATATGGAGTGGAGAAATTCAAATAAACCTGGCAAATAAACCTATTCTTGAAAGGCTTCATAGATTAGGTGAGACACAAGCATATTCTTAAAAATTGAACAAATGAACCCCTCCTAAAAACAAATGGGAGCATAGGTTTTCCAAAGAGACAGCACAGGTGAATAGGCCTCATAAAGAGAAGGAAAATTCTCATTATTAGGAGAATAGCACAGGAAAGACTGGCCCCCTTGATTTAATTATCTCCCCCTGGGTCCCTCCCACAAAACGTGAGAATTCTGGGAGATATAATTCAAGTTGAGATTTGTGTGCAGACACAGCCAAACCATATCATTCCACCCTTGGTCCTTCCAAATCTCATGTCCTCACATTTCAAAACCAATCATGCCTTCCCAACAGTCCCCCAAAGTCTTAACTCATTTCAGCATTAACCCAAAAGTCCACAGTCCAAAGTCTCATCTGAGACAACGGAAGTCCCTTCTGCCTATGAGCCTGTAAAATCAAAAGCAACCTAGTTACTTCCTAAATACAATGGGGGTACAGGTATTGGGTAAATACAGCCATTCTAAATGGGAGAAATTGGCCAAAACAAAGGAGTTATAAGGCCCATGCAAGTCCCAAATCCAGCAGGGAAGTCAAATTTTAAAGCTCCAAAGCAATCTCCTTTGACTCCAGGTCTCATATCCAGGTCACACTGATATAAGAGGTGGGTTCCCATGGTCTTGGGCAGCTCTGTCATGTGGCTTTGCAGAGTACAGCCTCCCTCCTGGCTGCTTTCATGGGCTGGCATTGAGTGTCTGTGGCTTTTCCAGGTGCACAGTGCAAGCTGTCAATGGATCTACCATTCTGGGGTCTGGAGGTTGGTGGCCCTCTTGCAGCTTCATTAGGTGGTGCCCCAGTAGGGACTCTGTGTGGGGGCTCTGACCCCACATTTCCCTTCCACACTGCCCTAGCAGAGGTTCTCCATGAGGGCCCCACCCCTGCAGCAAACTTTTGCCTGGGCATCCAGGCATTTCCATACATTTTCTGAAATCTAAGCAGAGGTTCCCAAACCTTAATTCTTGACTTCTGTGCACCTGCAGGCTCAACACCACATGGAAGCAGCCAAGGCTTGGGGTTTCCACCCTCTGAAGCCACAGCCCAAGCTCCACGTTGGCCCCTTTCAGCCATGGCTGGAGCAGCTGGGACACAGGGCACCAAGTCCCTGGGCTGCACATGACACAGGGACCCTGGGCTCAGCCCACAAAATCACTTTTTCCTCCTGCACCTCTGGACCTGTGATGGGAGGGGCTGCCATGAATGTCTCTGACATGGCCTGATGACATTTTCCCCATGGTCTTGGCGATTAACATTAGGCTCCTTGCTACTTATGCAAATATCTACAGCTGGCTTGAATTTCTCCTCAAAAGATGGGTTTTTCTTTTCTACTGCATCATGAGGCTGCAAATTTTCGGAACTTTTATTCTCTGTTCCCCTTTTAAAATGGAATGCTTTTAACAGCACCCAAGTCACCTTTTGAATTCTTTGCTGCTTAGATATTTCTTCTGCCAGATACCCTAAATCATCTCTCAAGTTCAAAGTTCCACAAATCTCTAGGGCAGGGGCGAAATGCCACCAGTCTATTTGCTAAAACATAACAAGAGTCACCTTTGCTCTAGTTCCCAACAAGTTCCTCATCTCTATCTGAGACCACCTCAGCCTGGATCTTATTGTCCATATTGCTAACAGCATTTTTGTCAAAGCCATTCAACCAGTCTCTAGGAGGTTCCAAACTTTCCCACATTTTCCTATCTTCTTCTGAGCCCTCCAAACTGTTCCAACCTCTGCCTGTTACCCAGTTCCAAAGTTGCTTCCACATTTTTGGGTATCTTTTCAGCAGTGCCCCACTCTACTGGTACCAATTTACTGTAGTCCATTTTCATGCTGCTAACAAAGACATTCCCGAAACTGGGAACAAAAAGAAGTTCAATTGGACTTACAGTTCCACATGGGAGTGGCCTCAGAATCATGGCGGAAGGTGAAAGGCACATCTCATAGAGCAGCAGACAACAGAAAATGAGAAAGAAGCAAAAGCAGAAACCGCTGATAAACCCATCAGATCTCTTGAAATTTATTCACTATCATGAGAATTGCATGAGATTGACCAGCCCCTGTGATTCAATTATCTCCCCCTGGGTCCCTCCCACAACACGTAGGAATTCTGGGAGATAAAATTCAAGTTTAGATTTGGGTGAAGACATGGCCAAACCATATCACAAGACTATATAAATAGAGACATTTAGTGCATGTCAATGGAGACGCCAAAACCCTAAAAACTCTAAAAGTTTTTGGCCTTAGCAAGATTTGTTCAGAAGTGAAGTAGGTCAAAACCTTCTTCAAAATACTTTTAAATAAATTAATAAAGTAGACAAACAGTATATTTTGATTTTATTTTGTCTTTCTGGTGTCCCAGAATGTTAAGGCTGGGAGTTATCTTCTGAAGTATTCAACCCCTCATTTCACAGTTAGAAAATGGAAGAACAGAAAATAGGAAAGACTTCCCCAATTTTACACAGTGAGTACAAGTAGGGCTGCTGATATGGTTTGGATCTGACTCTCCACCCAAATCTCTTGTTCAATGGTAATCCCCAGTATTGGAGGTGGGGCCTTGAGGGAGGTTGCTGCGGTTTGCCATGGTTACTACGGGACTGAACGAAGGGGGACAAATGCACAAATGAGAACTTAAGACAAAAGTAACTATTTTAAAGGAAGGGGCCAAGGAAGAAGAAGAGGGCTCCCAGCTTCTACTGAGCAAGGGCAGCTGCCCTGAGCTTCTATAGCCCTTTGTATTTATTGGGTAGAAAGAGCAGGGTAGAGGAGGCAACGATTGGTCAGCTGCTTAATTGATCACAGGTTCACATTATTGCTAACAGGCTTCAGATATGCCTAATCACAAAAAACACTGCACTTGGGGCGTGACTGCCCTCAGCATTCCTTCTGGGTGGCAGACGCAGTTTGTCAGTTTGCCAACAACCTGTTTTCATGAGAACAGTTTGCTGTTTACTCATATAGCCTCCAGTGGTATACTGAGTTGATCATGACCCTCACTCTTCCGGCCTGCAACAGGAGGTGACTGGATCCTGGGGCAGATTCTCATGGTTTAACACCATCCATGTTAGTGATGTCATCGTGATAGTGAGTTCTCATGATATCTACCTGTTTAAAGGTGTGTAGCACCTTCCCCCTCCCTCTCTTCCTTCTGCTCTGGCCATGTGAGATGTCTTACTTCTCCTTTGCCTTCTGCCATGATCGAAAGCTTCCTGAGGCTTCCCCAGAAACAGAAGCTGCTATGCTTCCTGTACAGCCTGCAGAACCATGAGCCAATTAAACCTCTTTTCTTTATAAATTACCCAGTCTCAGGTATTTCCTTATAGTAGAGTGAGAACAGACTAATACAGCTGGGTCTAGCCACTGAGTTTTGTCCCTTGCTCAATCCAGAGCCTAGATACAATCACTCCACTCGAGAACTTTTCTTACCATGGTCAAGCTGCATTGCTGAGCCCTGTTTTCTGTAACTGCCTTTCTCAAGCTACTTTTCACAAAAATTCCTGTTTCCAATGATTTTCATTACAAAAATTGGAATTGTGTTCCCAGGAGGGAAGAGTTCTGGTTTAAAGACAACATAAAATTGCTCTCAACTTTTTGATAGAAATCACCCAATTAGAGGCACCATGCTCTTTGGGACAAGTCACAAATCAGAAAAGAAATTTTGTTAATTCCTTTTTTGGGTCATGTTTGGAAATAGGGAAGTGGGGGAGTTAGAGGTGAGGTGGAGAGGAGGAATTAATTACACTGGAATGAGTTGCGAATTATGCCTGCACAGTGGCTAGAATTAGGTCCCCAAACTAAAAGGTCCACAGGAAACATAAGCAGGCTATCTGCTAGAACAAAACTCCTGGATGGAGAAGTTTCTCTGCTTCTGCGTCTGGCTTTTCTAACTCTTTCCTTTTTTTCCACTCAATAGCATTCGAGTGGCTTATAGAGGAAAGTCTTATACCAAAGCTTATTGGGGACAAATGTTTAGAACAACCAAAAAAATTTTTTTGAGAGGGAGTCTCACTCTGTTGCCTAGGCTGGAGTGCAGTGGTGCAATCTCAGCTCACTGCAACCTCTGCCTCCTTGCTTTAAGCGGTTCTCCTGCCTCAGCCTCCCCAGTAGCTGGGATTACAGGTGCCTGCCACCACACCCAGCCAATTTTTGTATTTTTAGTAGTGATGGGGTTTCATCATTTTGGCCATGCTGGTCTTGAACTCCTGACCTCAGGTGATCTGCCCACCTCAGCCTCCCAAATTACTGAGATTACAGGCATGACCCACCGTGCCCAGCCTAAAATAACCACAAAATTTAAACCACTGTAGAGCACTGAGCAGGGAATCAGGAAACCCACTGCTATCAATTCAAGTCACCTTCCAAGAAATCCTCCTTCTTTTTCCAGCAAGCTGACACCAATAGGGTCTCATTATTTGTGGATTCCATATTTGCAAATTCACCTGCTTTCTAAAATGTATTTATAACCCCAAAGTCAATAGTTGCAGTTCTTTTGTAATCATTCAAGAACATGCGCAGGGTGGTGAAAAATTTGAGACACCCAACACACACATCCCTGGGTGAGGTCTAACAAGGCAGTGTTCCAACTTCTTGTTTCAGCCCCACACTGTGAACGAGGGCCCTTTTGCGGCTTATATGTGCCACATTTTTTATATTTTCATTCTTTCTGCTGGTGATTTCACTGTTTAAAATGTCCTCAACACATCCCTGTAGTGCTGTCTGTTGTTCCTACATGCAAGAAGGCTGTATGTCCAACAGAGAAAATACATGCTAGGTAAGTTTCATTCAAGCATGAGTCATAGTCAGCTGCCCTTGAGAATAATGTCAATGAGTCAACAAAATGTATTGAAGAAGGTGTCTTTAGACAGGAACAAACATAAAACAAAGTTATCAATTGATTGGTTGATGGAGATGTTGTGACCAGACGCTCACAGGAGCCTAGCCCTGTCTTTCCTCTGAGAGAAATGGTTTAGTACTTGCTAATTCCATGTTTCTGGCAACTTTATAGAACATAACTCCACAAAGTAAACAAGAATTGATTGTAATTCACTGACAGCTCACAAATCTCCATTCCAGAGAGACTTTCCCTGACTTCTGTATTTAAAGCAGCACGACCCCTCCCCTAAGGTACTTCCCATCCCCTTTCCTGGTGTTTGTCTCCATGGCACTAATCACCTTCTGACACAGTGCAGGTTTTATTTGTTTACTTGTTATTGTCTGACTCTTCTAGAAGGTAAGTTCTATGAGGGCAGGGATATTTGTCTACTTAGCTCAGTACTCTATGCTTAGTACCTACAATAGTGAATAGTGCACAGTAGGCACTTAGGGATGGTTAAATGAATACATTAATGAACATACTTGTTGATATAGTTTGGACCTGTGTCCCTGCCCATATCTCAAGTCGAATTGTGATTCCCAGTGTTGGAGGTAGGGCCTGGTGGGAGGTGATTGGATCATGGGGGTGGATATCCCATGAATGGTTTAGCACCATCCCTTTGGTGCTGTTCTCATGATAGTGAGTGAGTTCTCACAAGATCTGGTTATTTAAAAAGTGTGTGGCATCTCCTGCTTCTCTCCTGCTCCTACTTTTTCCATGTGATGTGCCTCCTCCCTTTTGCCTTCCACCATGATTGGAAGCTACCTGAGGCCTCCCAGAAGCAGATGGCACTGTGCCTCTTGTACAGCCTGCAGAACCATGAGCCAATTAAACCTCTTTTCTTTATAAATTATCCAGTCTTGGGTATTCCTTTATAGCAATATGAAAATGGCCTAATACACTTTTCAAGGCTTCTGGGAGGAAAAACAGTAAGTCTTGTTCCTTCTCCTAGCTCTATCAGCATTTTAGTCCCTATATTACCTTAACCAAAATATGTACTTTCCTGACACTTTATTTATAAAGTAAAAGGGTAAATTCTTATCATTTTATGAATCATGTTCTACTTTGAAAATATGAGAAAAGCTATGAATATTCTACCTAGAAAAAAAAATGGACATTCATATTTACACACATTTTACCTATATTTTCAAGTGGTTCACAGAAGTCCATCTATAGTTCGTGGATGTTAGTTTAAGAAATAGTCACACTGGACTAGAAAGATTATCTAAGTTCTTTTCTAACTCTTAACACCTATTTTTTTATCCACGCTGTGATAGTTAATATTAAGTGTCAATTAAGTGGGTTTATTTGTGTGTTTCTGGGTGTTGCCAGAAGAAATTAACATTTGAGTCAGCGGACTCGGAGAGGAAGACCCACCATCAGGAAGACCAACCCACAGTGTGGGTGGGCACTATCCAATCAGCTGTCAGTGTGGCTAGAAAAAGCAGGCAGAAGTTGGAAGAAGCTGACTTGCGGAGTTTTCCAGCTTTCATCTTTCTCCCGTGCTAGATGCTTCCTGCCTCGAACATCAGACTCCAAGTTCTTTAGTTTTTGGACTCTTGGACTTACACCAGTCGTTTGCCAGGGGCTCTCAGGCCTTTGGCCACAGACTGAAGGCTGCACTGTCGGCTTCCCTGCTTTTGAGATTTTGGGGCTTGAACTGGCTTCCTTGCATCTCAGCTGGCAGACAGCCTATTGTGGAACTTCACCTTGTGATTGTGTGAGTCAATACTCCTCAATAAACTCCCCTTTGTATATACATTATCCCACTAGTTCTGTCCCTCTAGAGAACCCTCACTAATACACATGCCCTAAGGAAAAAAAAAAATCTCCTGATAAAGTACCACATACATGGAAGTAGGTTAGGAGATGTGGGAAGAACATAGGAGACACCATAAAAAATAAGACTCAACTTTCAGCTCCAGCGGGGCTGCTTTTCAGCAAAAGAAGTGGACAGTCAAATATAGAAGAAAATAATTGCGGGTGGAGAGAATGGGGAAATAATGGAGAAAGAATATTAAAAATGCAGGAGGTGTTTGAGGAAGAGAAAACAATTCTATTCTCTATCTGGGAGCCCCTGGCTGGCTTACATATATGTACAGGTGGGATGGAGAAACAAGTCCTCATATTCTGTCAGCAAAATCACACAAGGACTGTCATTATCTGCTCCTGAAGCTTTGGTAAACCCCTATCTCCTGCCTTCCTCACCTTCTGTCATTCTGAGATAGCCTCTGTGGTCTTGGTTCACCACTTCCCCAACTCCGGCACCAAGATTTGTTTGGTTTACTCCTTTTGGTCTTTATGCATACACTAAGTTCCAGGACTATATCCAATACTCTCATATATCTTGTCTCATTTCTTCATCCTTTTTTTTCCAGATGAGGAAGTTGAGGCTCCAAAGGCAATATGCCCAAAGCCATTCAATAATTGGTAGAGCCAGAGTTAAGAATCAATGACTTTGGGCTGGAATCCCTTGTTCCTTCCACCATACCATGCTGCTTTTGCCTGTGCTTGTCTATCCTCATCCTGGTTGGGTAGAATTTGAAAGGACATATTGGGAGGATGCAGAAATAGGGTGTGGCCTGAAGGAAATTGGAAAGAGGTGACGGACAGATGTCAGGACACTATACTAATCAGAGACACCACATTGAGGTTATAGACCAATGAGAATAGATGAGGAGTTCACACAGTTGCAGGCAATGCTACACTGCATCACTATACCATATCTCATTTAAACATATCCTCATCAATGCTTTATTACACTATCAATAAAAATGGTAAATATAATTATGTTTATTGTATAGATAAGGAAACTGGAGCTGTAAGACAAATGACTTGTTGGGTTCTTACAGTGAGTCAGGAGAAGACCCAGACCTTGACCCCAGTGTGAGTGACTTCACATGCTGCCCTCCTCCTACCATATAACAGTCTATTTGCTTTGCCACACTCTTAATTCTGAAAAGACAATACTCCAGATGAACATTCCATTCTGCTCGTAGAAAAGTCCTGAAGGTTTAGGTTGAGACAATTGATTTCAAATGGTTCCTTTGAGTAGATACTTCCACCACTCCCAATTTTCAACTTGTTTTATAGATATCTTCTGATTCCACATATCTCCCTCCTGTTTTTATATGAGATCATCTGGCTTTCCAACTGAATTCCTTCTCTACAAGCCAGTGAACCTCGATTGGACAGGAAATGAAGTTTCTCACCTCTAGTTCTCATGCTTGCCAGCTGTCCCCTGTATTTCCCTTTACAGCCTAGAGAATGTGCAAACACAGACCTTCTCTGGCCTTGTATGTCATTAACAACACTGCTACCTGTTGGTGGAACCTGAACGCTAGTCCTACAGAACTCTCTGCACATGTGCCTTCTACACATCCTGCTCTCTGGTTTCAGTAAACTAATTTATATTTCAGGCACAGTCTATCTCATCTTGGTGCCCCTCTGTTCATGCTAGCCCAGTTCATCTGAGACTTGCTAATTTCAAGTCCTCTTGCCCAAGGCTTTCTCACCTTTTAAAAACCCAGCTTGAATGCCACTTCCTCCAAGTAGGTTTCATTGTCTTCTCCAGTGGATATTAATCTCCCCTACATATATCACTGTCAGCTGCGTACTTCTTAGTAGAATCTTATCTTATCACAATTGATACAGGTGCCTCAACTCCTTTAACGACTTGACTTCTCTACTCTCTTACAGCAGGAACTATATAGGAATTTTGATTCTCCACAAGATAGTGCCTTAAATGTATTAGTTAAATACACTCCCTCCAAATTAATATTGTCATTATAATGTCTATAATTAAACATTTATTTGAAGCAAGTATTTTTCACACATTATTACTATTCCTCATAACAACCCTGCAGGATATTTTTCATCATTCTCTTTGCTTATATGATAAAGCCAAGACTAAGTCAGGTTAATAAGTTTTCCAAGGTCACTCAGCCAATAGATCAATAAAGGAGCAAGGGCTTAAACTTTATACTTCCAATGTCCTTTGATCTTGGTATTATAGTTTGGCAATACTGAAAAATAAACTTGATAAGTGAGTTTGCATGCCATAATCAAAGTCTTTAAAGTTTAACCCTTCACATCCTTACCATCTGGAACAAAATTATAATGAAAATTATTATAATTTTTACACTTGTAATCCCAGCACTTCAGGAGGCTGAAATGGGAGGATCACTTGAGCTCAGGAGTTTGAGACCAGCCTGGACAACCTAGTGAGACTCCATCTCTACAAATCATAATTTTAAAAAATAGCTGGGCATGGTGGTACATGCCTGTAGTCCCAGTTACTTGGTAGGCTGAGGTGGGATGATTGCTTGAGCCAGGGAGATTGAGGCTGCCGTGAGCTATGATTGCATCACTGCACTCCAGCCTGGGCAACAGAGTGAGATCCTGTTTCAAAACAAACAAACAAATAAATAATTGGCATGGAATCCTTGTGCAAAAGCCATTCATGTTGAGAAACAGTATAGTATAGCACTTATGAATACAAATTCTGGAGTCATACTGCCTTGGATGGAAGGCTGGCCACGCCACTTGCTACCTGAGTATCCTCGCAAAATTACTTCACTTCTTTGTATCTCATTTCTTCATTTGTAAAATGGGCAACACTTTCATCCCTTCTTCCAAAGGTTTATTGTGAGAATTAAATGACCTATATGAATAAGCCACTTAAAAATGTGCTCAAAAAGTTAGTTTAGTTGTTGTTATTATTATTGGGCCATTTGGCCCGTAGGTAGGATCCAAACTGCAGATTAGTTTAACTGTAATTGTTTCGTATGCTATATTTTAAACCGGTGATTTAGTGCCAACATTTAAAATTTTGCAGATTATACACACACAAAATTCTAGATTCTCAGCTTCCTTTGGGAAATCAGAAAGTCTAGCAACTCTTTGAACCTATTCCTACCTGGCCACAATCCACTGGTACTAAGTAACAGCATTCCCCATTTAAAAAGGGCACATGCTTCCCAGTGCATCATCTGTGCCCAGATTTCCTGTTGCTGTATGCTCAGCCACTTCTTTTTTTTTTTTGCGCTTTTGAACTAATGATCCCTGTGTTATGCCTTTGCTTAGACTGTTTTGAACTTTTATCTAATCTACCATATGCTTCAATGAGTTATCAATTTTTCCAGTCCAAACACAGTTTTAAGCATCAAATTAGCAGTACATTTATATTAACTAGCTGATAGGAAAATGGATATTGAATAGAGATAGTTGATGATGAGGAAAAAGAAAAACCCAACAGCCGATACAGTGCCTTATCACAATAAAGCACCACATTGAAAATAAAATTCAAAATGTAGTATCTCAAAGTAATATCGTGTTACACAAATGCTTGCTTACAAGGGTGATCCTGCCCCCTGCCACCCACTTTAAGGCCTTACTCAATATTACACCTCCTTATTAGGTATTTTAAAATATTTCAATCATGCTCAGAAGGAATTTCTTACTTGTACATCTCACAAAGCACAATTTGAGAAATTCTGTTCTAATTCTTGTCTCAACCTCCCCAAGATTGTAAATCCCTGGAACACAAGGACATTATAGAATTTGCTTGTATGCCCTTTAGGGTGAAGCAAAGTGCATTGTAGTTATTTGATTAGTGTATATTTGAATAAATTGTTATAAGATAATTTAAAAGTTCCAGCAAAGCCAACTTAAAAGGAGTCTATATGGCTGATCGCTATTCTTGCTACATTTTATGCAAGTAAGCAGACCAGGTATAAAGAGACTAAAATTTATTTTGAAAATAAATTAGTCCTATTATAATTTATTCTTGGTAAAAGTAGAGAAACTACAGGAGAAAAAAATTTAGATTCTAGCCCTGACCATTGTGTTAAGTTTTTATTATTTGCCTACAATTTGAGCTAAATCCTGAATTCTTGCCTGGCTACAAGAAGTCTTCTCTAAAAGAGAGCTGGGTTTTACTTTTCCTCATGCTGCTTAATGGATGACATACAAATTCTTTTTTGACCACAATCTTTGTATGCATTATAGTTCTACTATTCAAATTATCAATGTTATGTATCTCTCATTGTTTTATTTTGGAGAAAACCAAAATCATGGTACTCTGAGGACTAGAGATGATTCAGCAAAACCTGTGAATCTCCTCCAATCCCACTGGGCCTAGATCAGATTCTGTTTTCAATACCAAGCACCCTCCCTAAAGGCCCAGGGACCATTGCGAAAGAGAAGGGTGCATGAGATGGTAAGAGCCAGATTAGGGAGGTGGAATGTGGAGGCTGAAACAACTCTATCTTGAAAGCTAATCTACCAAGTTGGCTTCTGATCAGCCGCTGTTCCAGGAAGGCCTCTAAGATTTCCAGTTTATCTATTGTTTCTTGTGTAAGAGCAAGCACTTACCTTAACTCCTGCCCTTAGGTCAAACAACCTTGATGTTATCATATGTACTTCAATTGTCCTACACGTCCTTTCTGAACCACCCCTCCCTTATGGAACATAAGCTCTGGGTCTGGGAGGATAATGGCACAGGGATCCCTCATCGTGTCTTGCTGCTGCCCAAGACACAGACAAGGCTTCTGTTCATAAGTTCCCATTAAATGTTTCTGAGAAAAAAAATGTATGAAGAATTTAGAGCCATCTAGTTCCTACACTGCTTAAGCGGAAGGTATAAAATATAACTTTTCACAAATAGTTCAATGAAAAATAAAATGCTTTTAAAAAGCATTGGGCATATAAGTGAGTCAGTTCCCATTAGAAAATAATGTGTTTATGTTACTTTGACTTTGAAACCAAAGTTGGCTTCCACTTTGTTTTTGGATGGCATGAGAGTTGCTTAAACTCTAAATCAATTTTCTCATTGTTGAAACGAGCATTTATGTTTACCATCATGTCTTGCCTTGGACCTCACCTCCCAAGAGAAGCCTTTCAGAACACCCAAGACGGGATTTAAGAGCTGTCCTGTGTGCTCCCATAGACTTCGTTTGCTACCATACTACCTAGAAATTGCCTAGACTGTAACTTCTATGAAGGTAAAGATGATGTGATCATCTTTTTTACCGTGTGATCCCCCGAGCAGATTAAATGCTCAGAAAATATTTATTGACAGAAAAAAATGGACGAGCAAATCCACAACTACATGAGTATACTTCCAAGATGGTTGTAAGAACCCAAAACTATTTGTAAAGAGCCAACAAATTTAAGTTGTCATCATTGTTATAAGCAACATTGAATATGGGGTGGCTGAGCTGAGAAATCTGCTTTGGCCATAACTGCAGCCTGTTGCTCCCATCTGTCGCTGTCCTGGCCCTGGCCCCTTTTCCCATTACACCCCCATGGAGCTTTCCTGAAGCTGACCCCATGCAGGCAGGACTGGAGGGCTGTTTTCCAGCCTCACCAACCTAATTGTTCCTCATTTCCTGCCCATAAATGGTACAAGGTGTGGAGTTGCACCTCCCAGTGTCCCAATTTCAATCATTTGTCTACATTAATCGATGCTAATGGCTTTTACAAATGTAAGTCTTTAAGCTCCTGTAAGTTACATGTGTTTGAGGAGGCCATTGAAAGAAAGCAAACTCAGTGTTCCTGTAGCTTCCAGGGAAATGTTCTCCAAATATCCTGAAAGCAGGGGCAGGGCCCAGCATTCCAAAGCCCTGTGCCTTTGCTCGGCAATCTCTCAAGAGATTGGGTTGTTATTATTAATAAAGTGTGACTTTTTCCAAATGAAAGAACAAAGCCCTGCATGTTACCAACTGCATGGAAAAGACAGGCTTAATGACATTTGAATTACATCAGTTTATTTAACACCAAAAATTGTGTGTGTTTAACTTATTTATTTTTAATTTTTTAAAATGTAACAGCATTAGGTAAGATTTTCAAAATAGTTTTGTCCTTGAGCCCAAGACTACAATACTGTAGTTATTAGCATCTTGGAAGAGTCACTATCAGTCTTTTTTTTGTAGTTATTGCATTCAATATAATACAGTTTGTCTTTTTTTCATATATTTTTGGTAATAATTGTAGTCTTAGGAACTAGTATTATTTATTTTAGTGCATATAGTCCAATCTCCTTAACCATTCTCTATTATTAATCATTTAAATATAAGACTGATATTTTAAAAAACATACTAATTTAGAAAGTAAGCAACAGACAGGGAAAAATACTCACAGCAAATGCAAGCAATTACTCACCCACTTTGGCATTAGCCATTTCATAGGCATCCTCAGCCCTTTAGGAAAAACCCCAAATGTCATTACTCTGAGAACCAGAAATAGGAAGGCAAACATCTGGTGATAACAATACAGAGCAAGAAATAATTCAAGAAAAACACACTTTTCAAAACTACAAGTGCAATAATAAATGTGAATAATTGAATGTTCCATAATCAAAAGGCAGTTTCCAAAACAAATAAATAAAAATCAAATGATATATTATTTACTGCAAATAGTATTGTTAGATTAATTACCTGATGCAATCACAGACTCCAAAGCTACATTGTCCTAAGATAGATTCCCCCAAAAGCAGCCACTGAGACAAAGCTTGTGTGCAGATAGTTCATTCGGGAAGTGATTCCTGGAAGCAGGTGTGAAGAGCAGGGCAAATGCAACACAGAGAGAAAAGCAATATGAGGATGCATGACTGAGCTGGTCACCACTGTGGCAGAGGGATGCTTGATCCTATGAGGACTCCTAAGGAACCTTCCAGAAAGCATCTCAGAACTCTTCTCCCAGGGTGGTGAAAGGAGGAAGAACATATTCATTGGCTCTCAATTCCACTGGCCAAGGGTAACCCCATGGGAATTAATGCATTCACACTTGGACATTTCCTGGCTTTGTTGGTTAAAATAACACTGTGCTGGGAAGGTTTGAAGTGGTTCTTAGGAGGCTTCTAATATGGTCCATCCTTAGCCACACTCAGACTGCTTGTGCTTTTCATTAAGATCACCTCCTCCAAGGAGGTGCCTAGCTGCTGTTCTACAAGGGAAGCTAGATAGTCACAGCCACAGCTGTCCCAAGCCTTCATTAGCATTCATCTCCCTCCTCCAACACCCTCTAGAGATTTCCCTCACTCCCAGCCAATACTTCAGCTGGCCTAGACTGCTTTCCTGATGGATGCCTCAGAATTTCATCCCTAAAGGGCCCTGAGCGCTTGGCTGCTCTTGTGTGCGTGGTTGCTTCAGTCACCTGTTCACTATTATGACCATGCATGGAAATATCAAGAATTATCCTATTGATTCCACTAAGTTCCAGACATACTCAGCCCTGCCTCTATTTTAAGGTATTAACCCTAACTCCTCTTCATATTCAGGGTCCATTATCCTCTCCAGTCCAGCAACTCCCTTTTTTACCATTGATAAAATGATGAGGAGCCCAGATGACCAGGTGGACACACAGTTTGAAGTTTAGTGGATACCTTACTGTGTCTCCTGATATAAGTGTCCCCAGCTTGGGAACTGGAACCTTTAATCCAGCAGAGTCTAACAATCAAGGCTCAAGAAACTCACCCTGAAGGTGTGCATTCTGGGACCTCTCATGTAACCAGTTATCTTAACCTGCATTTCCCCAAAGGCAGAATCTGAGACAAAGTCTTGTATGCAGGTAGTTTACATAGAAAGTGAATCTAGGATGGAGGGATGAGGAACAGTACAAAAACAAAGATAAAAAGCCAACAGAAGGAAACATTTTTGATTGGGCCACTGCTATGGTAGACAGGTGTTTAATAAATGCATTTTGAAACTTTCACCCCAGGAGTCAAAGGGAAAAGTATTTGTATCAATGTGTGATTGAATTTTTCCTTTGCATAAAGTTAAGTCACTAATCATTGCCAAAATTCTCTTTCTTTAAAACCCTGCATTTCCAACATGCAGTGCAGGCTAATTTTATTTTATTGTCCAGGTCAAAGACATTTTCCTGTATCAGTTGTCGTTTTCAATTTTTCTCGCCCCAAATTTCTAAATTATTCTGCCTTGTAGCTCCAGTATTGGATTTCTCTTAAGTTCCAGGACTTCAGCAGTCGTCCTCTCTGTTTAGTGTAACTTCCAGTCTTCCAGTGGTTCACATGGTGTCCCTATTTCCAAAGGGGCTCTGCTTACCCTTCCTCTTACTCTCCACATCCCCCCATGCATTATGGATTGATGTCATGCTTCACCATCTCCATCAACCCATTAGCAGAGCAGAACATATTGTGATAATAAAAATCTTTGCCAAAAATTCCTGGCTGTGATCGCATTGAGCCCTGAAAGAGCACGTTTTATTTTTCAGATAGATTCAAACAAGTGGTAACTCCAAGTAGGTTTTAACTTCTTCCTTTTAAAGAAGAAGGATTTTTGGCTGAAGTCAGCATGGAAGACAGTCAGAAGACACAAGTTCAGGCTGTGCTACTTACCTGATGTGGGACTTTCAGGAAACTGAATCTAAAAAGAAGCAACATTTGCCTGCCTGTAAAATGAATGTGATAGTCACATGGCCTGTACTATCTGCACAGGCATGTGCACACAAACACAGAAAGAGAGAGAGATTGAATCTCTGGTGTTTCCTCCTCTTCTTATAAGGACATCAGACTAGGACCCCACCCTATGACCTCATTTAACCTTAATAGACTTCCTAAAGGCTCTATCTCCAAATATATGTTAAGGCCTCAACATACATATTTTGGGGAAAACAAATCAGTCTATAACACCTCCTTAACTTATAGCATAAATAATCAAGGTGGAAAAAAAGAGACCTTTCTTTCTTTCTTCAGATTCATTCATAGGAAAGAACCCTCCAATCCATTCTTTAAAAGAGAGCTCCCCATGTCCCCGCAATTCACAGTCCTAACTCCACCTCCACCTCCACTTAAATCATCTCACCCAGGAAACTCACTTGACTGTTGCTTTTCTTTTTTTTTAATTTTAAAATTTTACTTTAACTCCCAGGATTTATGTGCAGAAGTGTAGGTTTGTTACATAGGTATACATGTGCCATGGTGGTTTGCTACATCTATCAACACATCACCTATGTTTTAAGCCCCACATGCATTAGGTATTTGTCCTAATGCTCTCCTTCCCCCTGCCCCCAACCCCCCGACAGTCCCCGGTGTGTTTTCCCCTCCCTGTGTCCAAGTGTTCTCTGTTCTCATTGTTCAACTCCCCCTTGAACTAATTAAACAAAAGAGCTTCTGCACAGCAAAAGAAACTATCATCAGAGTGAACAGGCAGCCTACAGAATGGGAGAAAATTTTTGCAATCTATCCATCTGACAAAGGTCTACTATCCAGAATCTACAAGGACCTTATGCAAATTTACAAGAAAAAAAAAACATCAATGAGTGGGCAAAGGATATGAATGACACTTCTCAAATGAAGACATTTCTGTGGCCAAGAAACATGAAAAAAAGCTCAACATCACTGATCATTAGAGAAATGCAAGTCAAAATTATGAGATACCATCTCACACCGGTCAGAATGGTGATTATTGAAAAATCAGGAAACAGTAGATGCTGGCGAGGCTGTGGAGAAATAGGAATACTTTTACACTGTTGGTGGGAATGTAAATTAGTTCAACCATCATGGAAGACAGTGTGGCAACTCCTCAAGGATCTAGAACCAGAAATGCCATTTGACCCAGCAATCCCATTACTGGGTATACACCCAAAGGAATATAAATCATTCTACTACAATGACACATGTACACGTATGTTTGTTGCAGCACGATTTACAATAGTAAAGACATGGAACCAACCCAAATGCCCATCAAGGATAGACTGGATAAAGAAAATGTGGTACATATACACCATGGAATACTATGCAGCAATAAAAAAGAATGAGATCATGTCCTTTTCAGGGACATGGATGAAGCTGGAAGCCATCATCCTCAGCAAACTAACACAGGAACAGAAAACCAAACACTGCATTTTCTCATTCTTAAGTGGGAGTTGAACAATGAGAACACATGGCTGTTGCTTTTCTAGGATTTCCTGTCACAGACCTCCTGCCTTCTTCACCTCTGAGGACAAGTTGCAGAGCGTATTGTATATGCCTCAGTCCAGGTGCATAAGCACGCTCTTCTGCCACTCTTTCTTCAAGTTTCTGAATCTGCCTCTATATCTTGTTTCTAGCTCGTTTTCCCTCTCCCAGGCTCCTCTTCTCTCTTCTTTCCCCTTTTCTCCTCTCTTCACTGTCTCTTTCTAAGGTGTCAGTATACTACAAAAATCCTGAAAATACAAAGAAAATAGTGTGTTTATTTGAGCTTTTTAGATTAATAGTTGGCCTAATGTTTTAAATATGGAGTTACTTCATCTGAAAAGGTATCTGAGGTTAAAGAAAAGTAGATTGACCATATTGCTTGAAAATTTAACTAGTATGCTGTTTAAAAATCATCTTATTTTCCATCTTCCGACTTTTGGACATCCTGAAGGCATCTCTGCCTTCACCTTTCCTCTGTTTTTTCTTGCTCCCTCCTCTTTTATCCTCTGTTTCTGTATCTCGTCCTTGTTTCACTGCCTCTCTCTGCTCCCGTTTCTAGTCTCTCATGGGCTCTTTCATCATCTCTCTTCTCATTTCTCCATCACTATGCCTGTTCTCCTCTCCCTAGCCCCTTCTCTCCATGTGGCTCCCTCTCTCCCACAGACACCCTCCATCAGCGGCTCTATCTGGCTTTATAATTTCAGCATAGCATTTTTGGCACAAGATCTTTTCCAATTTCCTGATGTAATAACAATGAGGCTTAGAGGAGATTATGGTGAAAAGTCTCCTGTGGATGGACAAGGTGTCAAATGAGCTCTCTCACTGATAGGGTTCAATAAATTGAGCCTTCTCATCATGGTCCTTAAATGAGTGGTGCATGTCTAGGCTGGTCATGTGGACCCAATTCCCAGCCAGATGGGAGACACATTGACTGAAGGCAGCCTGGGTCCTGCAAAGGGCTCTCAACCAAAGTCAGGATCTCTGCATGAGAAGCCCCCTCCAGCATTCACAGAATGTCTGATCTCCAAAAAGTCACTTGACCTCACTGGGCTTTAGTTTCTACAACTCTAAACAAAGGAATTGGACTGACAGTGTTGAGGAGCCTCTGTTTTTGCCTTTATGACTCTATGATTCCCCTTCATATATGGCAAATACATACATATGTGTGTGCCTGGTAAATATAGGTGCCAATTTTATGTAGATAAAACACACATGCAAATAAGTGTGTGTCTCTGTATATAAAGCACACACATGCATACACACACATTGTCTTAGTCTGTTTGCACAGCTATAACAAAATACCTTAGACTGAGTAATATACAAACATTAGGAATTTGTTGTTCATAGTTCTGGAGGCTGGGAAGCCCAAGATCAAGGTGTCAGCAGGTTTGATGTCTGCTGAGGGCTTGCTCTCTGCTTCCTCCTTGCTGTGTCTTCACAAGGTGAAAGGGGGCAAGGAAGTTTGCTCAAGCCTCTTTTATAAGGACGATGATCTCATTCACGAGGATGAAGCCCTCATTACTTAATTACTTCCCAAGGGCTCCACTTCTTAATGTGGTCACACTGGGTATTAAATTCTAACATATGAATTCTGGGGGGGACACAAACATTCAGACCATACCATTCCACCCTGGGCCCCCAATATTCATGTCTTTCTCATACGTGAAATACATTCATTCCATCCTAAGAGCCCCAGACAATAGTTGGTGTTGTTCCAGCACCAACTCCAAAGTCCTAAATCCAGAGTCTCATCTAAATATCATCTAAATCAAATATAGATGACACTCAAGGTATGATTCATCCTGAAGAAAATTGCTCTCCAGTTGTGAGCCTGTGAAATTAAACATGTTATGTGTTTCTAAAATAGAATGGTGGTCAGGCATTGAATAGTTACTCCCCCTTCAAAGAGAGAAATAGGAAAGAAGAAATAAGTAATAGGTCCCTACCAAACCCAAAACCCAATCAGGCAAACATTAAATCTTAAGGCTTTAGAATAAACTTCTTCTTTTTTAGGAGTCAGGGTCTTACTCTGATGCCCAGGCTGGAGTGCAGTGGCATGGTCATAGCTGACCGCTGTCTCTAACTCCTGGGCTCAAGTAATCCTCCCAACTTGGCCTCCCAAAGTGCTGGAATTGCAGGCATGAGCCACTGAACCTGGCCTGAATAAAGTTCTTTGATTCAAAGCCTCACCTCTGGACAGAGTGGAGTGGGAGGTTGGCCCTCCAAGGCCCGAAGGGGGCTCCAGCCCACGACATTAACCCATGCTGCAACTCTCACAGGTTGGAGTCTCATGCCTATAGCTCTTCCAGGCTGAAATTGAATGCTGGTGGCTTTATCAGTCCGGGGTCTTTGGGGTGGACCTGCTCCCATGGCTTCACTGGGCATTGCCCTAGTGGGGCCCTCTGGAGCCGCTCTACCACTGTGGCAGTTCTTTGCCTGGGCCTCAAGTTTCCGGGGGCATCCTTTGAAATCTAGGTGGATGTAGCCACACTCCCACAGCTCATGCATCCTGCAGCATGGTGAAAATGGCTCTGTATGGACACAGCTAAGGTTTACCATTTGTGCCTTTTGGAGGGGCAACCTGATCTGCACTTGGGCCCACTTGAGTGACGGCTGGGGTGGTCAAGAAGCACTGCACTGAAATGTGAAGAGTGGAGCCTTGAAATCATTCTGCTCTTAAGGCCTTAGCATTCTGGGCACGTGATAGGCAGGACAGTGCTAAAGATCTTCAAAATGCCTTGGGGGTCATTCTTCCATCGTCTTGATGAGTTGCACCAGGCTTCCACCCATCCACAATAATTTTCTTATCAGATGGGCACTTGGGCACATCCCTGGCATTCTTTCCCGAGCATGCTTTTGCAGTCTTTACAACATGGCCAGGCTAAGAATTTTTCAAGCCTTTAAGTTCTGCTTCCCTTTTGACTATAAATTCCTTCTTTAATTCATTTCTTTCTTCTCACGTTTTGCTATAAACAGTCAAGAGAAGACATGCAGTGTCCTCAAAATTTCACTTAGATATTCCTTCTGCCAAATATCTTGTTATATTGCTCAAGTGTTCTGACCTGCTGCAAAGCACTAGGACATAAATGCAATTCAGCCAAGCTCTTTGCCATTTTATAACAAGAATTGCCTTTCCACTAGTTTCCAATATCTTGTTCCTCATTTCTGTCTCAGACCTCATTGAATGGCCTTTACCATCTATATTTCGCCCAACATTCTGATCATAACCACTTAGGTAATCTCTAAGAAGGTTAAGGCTTTCTCTGAAGTGCTCTTCTTCTTTTGAGCACTAGCCAAAATTCCCCTTAAATATATATACTTTTTCTAGCATGGTCCTTCAAATTCTTCCAGCCTCTACCCATTACCCAGTTACAAAGCCACTTCTGCATTTTTAGGTATTTCTTACAGAAGTACCATGCTTCTTCATATGAATTTCTTCCTTAGTTCTTTTAGGCTACTATAACAAAATACCTTAAGCGGCATAATTTATAAATATAAATTTATTGCTCCCAGCCCTGGAGGCTGGGGAGTTTAAGACCAATGTGCCAGCAGATTTGGTGTCTTATGAGGGCCTGTTCTTCATAGATGGCACTTTTTATGTGTTCTCACATAGTGGAATGGTCAAGGAAGCTAGCTTCAGCCTCTTTTATAAAGGTACTAATACCATTCATGAGGCTGGGGCCCTCATAATTTAATCACTTACAAAGGGCTCCACTCCTCAATACCATCACATTGGGTACTAGGTCCCAACATATAAATTTGGGGAAGGCACCAACATTCAGCCCACAGCACACATGTTTTTTGGAAGAAATACTTTGAAAAACCATCCTAGAATTTATTTCCCACAAAATACAATGGGTCATAGGTGAGAGAAGCTTCACTCCTCCCTGGAACTCTCCAACAACACTAAGAGTGAAGAAAAGGCTTGGAAAACATAATGAAAGCAAGGTTAGGATATAGAATTATTGGACATGGTATTTTATGGTTTTGTTTTATAAGAAAATACTGGTATTTTACTAAAAAGACTAAATAGATCATATATTTGAGTCCTGATTCACAAATATTTTAAATTTGATGTTTATTAAAATGCTAATAATCCATTGGGTTTGAAAAGTAAAATGAAATTAGCAAATGCATTAACAGACAGTGATTGCAGAAAGAAGTATATTCTATAAACTATTTTCCTCTTGGATCAAAAATGTACCTACATATGGATTGGCCACATTGGATGTGCAAAAATGGGGTTTCTAGGGCCCCAGGGAAGTAATTACATCATTAACCAATTAATTATTACATGGCTACCATGTACCTGAGTTTCAAAGAAGTCAGATATGGCCCTTCCCCTCCTAGAGATGTACAATAAACATATAAACATACCCAAACAATATATTGATGCAATGACAGAAAAGAGAGGAGGCAATATAACAATATGGGTGATTGGAGTGGAGAGGATTTGGGGTAGAAAATGTAACAATCTGCTCATGATGAGATCCGCTCCTGAATGCCTTCCTTTTCTCACCACCCCAAGGATACAGGAAGCCTTGCTTTACATAGAGCCTGCTCACCAGTGGGCAGTGGGCACGGGTAATTGAAATTAAGCTAACATATTAAGCATATCACTCTTAGCTGCTCTTCATAGAAGGAACAAGATTTCATTTTTATTTTCCCAACCACCTCTCACAAAAAGTATTGTCTTCATTTTACACATAGGGGAGTTGCAAAATCACACTCTGATTCAGATATGCAAAGAAATACAACTCATTTTCTCCTTAACTCTCATGAGTTTAACTATTAATGAGTCTCTATTTACTCAGTAGTGACTTAGGGTAGTAGTTATAGGACAAAGACTATAATCCGGTCAGCTATACTTATATCCTATGCAATAATTTAAAGTCCTTTTGGGTTATTGTTTGGCTCTTGTTAGGTAAAATGTACTGAGTCTCTCATATTTTGGCCCTCTTCTCTTTATCTTCTGTATATTGGTGTTTGAGAGGCAGGCCAAAGGCAGCAGAGTAGAAAGGCAGGCCCTCAGGTCACTAGTGCCTTCTTCTGTGGAGGGGCCATTCAGAGCTGCTATTTGGGCTGGCTATTTCCACTGTTGTTGGCAACAGCCTGTATTCCTGGGCATTGACCTGTCCCCTGCTGCTAGGGCTGCAGCTGGGCAACTCAGGTCTCTCTCTCCTCTTCTCTCTCTCTGGTATCTCTCCCTCTTTCCCCCACCCTCTCATTTCCCCCAGCCTCTCAGCTTTATGAGGGCCTGGGATGCTTACTAATTCAGTCTTCTCTCTGACCTCTCAAGTGCCACAGATACATCACCTCCAGTCTCTGCCCTGGTCTCTGTCCTGTACCTGGCTCTCACCCCTTGCTGGAGGGTCCTATGGAAAGTTTACTGCTTCTCAACTCAATGGCTTTCCATGCCTCCTCAGAGTCATGTGGGAAATTTGGGGCACCTCATCACAGAAAATAGAAGTGGCTTTGAAAAGCCAAATTCTGTTTCTCCCTCTGCCTCTCTACTCGTCTGAGTTTGCTTTGCACCTTTTTTCAGAGTGCCAAATAGAAAGCCAAGAAGAATGACTCCTTCCCCAACATCACTCACCTAACACCTACCAGCCTTCCCCATGCTGGGCTGAGGCACAGAGGGAAGTCAGGGCACACTCCATTTGCCTCTCCTATCTCCTTCTCAGTTCTGCTTCCCAGAAACTCTGGAGCCAGAAGAGATGAACTTTCAGGGTTCTTACTTCCTAAACATACATGCTTCTCCCTCAAGGCAGTAAGCTTCCAGACCCAGCTGCCACAGGTGGAAGGAGTAATCATTTTACAATTATAGAAGAAACTCAGTGATCCAAGTTGTTCAGGTTTGTTTCTTAATATGATATGGGAACTTAGAAAATCTCTGTGGTTGCTGAACCAATACCCCCATTTTCCTTACTATAGATCCCCATTTTATTTAGAGCCACAGTGTGCCCATTTCAAAGTGTTCTCCTTCTCCCTGACTCACAGGTTACTAGAGCTGCTCGCGTGACCCAGTCCTTGCCAAGGAGATATGAGTGGAAGTTGCTGAATAGGGTTTTCCTTTTTAGAAAGACACAGACTTGGTTGGTGTTCATTTTTTGGTTTATGCCCTTTTCCTTTCCCCTTACTTCTGCCAAGTATATAGGCACAATGCCTAGTGTTGCGGTAACCACTTGCAAGCACTAAGGATAGTGACAGGGAAAGCTAAAAGGAATCTAGGTCTGTATCAATCATGGTCCCACCATAAGCAAAACCAG
The DNA here is from genome assembly GCF_000001405.40 of Homo sapiens. Classification (NCBI taxonomy): domain Eukaryota; kingdom Metazoa; phylum Chordata; class Mammalia; order Primates; family Hominidae; genus Homo; species Homo sapiens. Next base: position 56,044,410 of record NC_000001.11, read on the forward strand.
TGGGAGATGAGTGATAGATAGATAGATAGATAGATAGATAGATAGATAGATAGATAGATATACAGATAGATAGATATACAGATGACAGATAGATAGATAGATAGATAGATAGATAGACAGATAGACAGGCAGATTTATTGCAAGAGACTGGCTTATACAATTGTGGGGGCTGTCTAGGCAAGTCTGAAATCTGTAGGGCAGGCCATCAGGAAGGGCAGGCTGGAACTCAGGGGCACAGGATAAAACTGTAGTCCATAGGTGGAATGAGGCTTCTTCAGCAAAGCATCAGTTCTGCTCTTAAGACCTTTAGATGGTTTAAAACAATCCCACCCAGCTTATCTAGGATAATTTCCTTCCTTAAAGTGAATTCAATCATATCTACAAATTACCTTCACAGCAACCTGGATTAGTGTTTGATTGAATAACTGGGCACTCTTGCCTAGCCAGCGTGACACACAAAATTGACCACCACAGGGTCCCAATAGCATCGAGTTGCCACCACAGTAGCTCTGGACTACCTGCCTTTGTCTTTGTAGTCCAGAGCTACGTGGTGCTCTGTTTGTTTTCCAGAGAAAAACAAATGCTATTAAGATGTAGTAGCCAGGTTTCCATTACATACAACCAAATGCAAATCCTAATTAATATATTATTTTGCTCAGCTTTAAGCCCTTAACTTATAGATTCAAACAAATATCTAATTTTAGAGTCAAAACGAACAATAGGTCTGTTCTTGTAGGAGGGTGTTGTGCTTCTCCCCAAGCTCTGAAATTCATTGCTTCAAAGGGTAAGAAGGCCCACAGGCAATAAGATTTATGAAATATGAAAATGCAACCGAAAATGTTTAACAAAAAAAATCGTTTTAAATGCTACATATGTACAAAATTAGTAATTTGATCAAGATTGGAATCCAGAACTGTCTGAAACTGAAACCTGTCCCCTTTTCTCCTATGCCAAGATATGAGCAAAACTCTCTGCTTGGCTGTCTATAGGAAAGAGAACCATCAACAAAGGTGAATTTGTTTAAAGCTGCATATTCATAAGAATTATCATCATAAAAACTGCCAGAAATATTTTTTAAATCAGATTTATTCAATATTAATTCATTCTCACTAGTGCTATTGAAACTGAAATTTCAGCTTCTATATCTTAGGCTGGTCTATGGCTGTGTGAGAAACAAGAGAAAGAAAATTAAAGCTGACCACTTCTCAATGTGAGCTGTCCAAAACCACAAAGAGGTACTTTGAGTAAGTGGGACAGGACAGGGGCAAGTGGGTCAGCCAGTGCTTCAGTGTCTACTTGTTCTTGTCCAGTGAGCGTGTCAAGATGGGGCTATTAATTTGTAAGTGTCAACTTGATTTTCAAAACTTTGGTGCTGATCTGTTAAGACAGCATGCACCTTCCTTCCCTTCAAAGACCCCTGATGATAAAGACTCCTTGTGTTTCTCTGGAGTCTTAGGAGATCTTCCCTTTCTTTGCTCCTTCAGTGCCACAAACATTTAGCAGGTAGACATGGTCAAATAAAGATTTTGATCTTCATTTTATGTAAGAGGAAGCAGCTTTAAAGACGAGAAGCTTTAAAGACAAATTGAATTTATGTGGCAAGCAAACCACATCACCTTCCATGATCCCTGAGGAAGAAATAGAGGAAAAATCAGCACCTTAAAATACTTAGGAAAATCTCTTAAAAATTGAATAAAATTTGGGCCAGAATGTCTTACTTATGACAAGAGACCAAGAAGTGCAGAAGAGCATGGACCTCTACCTCTTTTCTAACTGGAGGACTAAGATTCACAAAATCTGCCCAGAGCAGTGCACTATCCCGTATTTCAAATATTGTTTTCTTTAATTTGCCGCAGCTTCTACATCAGAACTTGCTGTTTCACCTTGCACTTTTATAGAGATGGCTTCTTTCCTTCTTTCTTGTGGGGTTATTAGAGATGGTTTGAGGAGGCTGCATTTGTCCACTTGCTTATTATTTGTTAAATGCCATTAAGTTCATTTCTGAATTGTTTTAAGGCCATGTGTATATTCAGACTCCATCACTTCTTGGGCCAAGTTGGGAGTGTGGTAAGTACCAACTGAATCACTAATGAGATCCCCTGTGGTTGGTCATGAATAGTGGGAAGAAGAATAAAAATTCACCCTTTTCTTAGACTAAAATAAAACTAGACCTACTTCAAACAGTTAAAAATAAAAACATATCTTACCATGGTGTGTCCTTCTGATTATGTCTTAAAGTAGATAATAATTACCAGCATTTGCATAGCACCTTACAAATTATGGAGTACTTTCAGAGCCACAATTTCAATCAATATAATTGAGAATCTGACCTTCTGAGGGGGTCAAGAAAAACTTCTTTGAAGCAGCAACTTTTGAGCTTGGCCCTGAAGCTAAAACCCATTCCCTTTCTGCTATACCAAGATATTAGCAAAAGTCTCCATTTGGCTGCCTATAGGAGAGGAATCATCAAACATGGGTTTGTTTAAAACCCATTTCATAAGAGTAATCACATAAAAACTTCCAGTAATATTTATTTAAATTAGATTTATTTACTATTTATTTGCTTTCCCATCTCCATTGAAATTAAAATCTCAGCCTATATAGCTTCATCAGAGTGACAATTATAGGCTAGTCTATGGCTGTGTGAAAAGCAAAAGCTGAAACAAATAAGCAAAAAAAAAGAAAGTATATGTTTTGAAAGAGCAAGAATATGGTGTCTAGGGTGATGAGGGGAGACTCCAGAGGGAGTTTAGCCTGATTTTGAGGATATAATAGGCACAGTAGATGCTTTGAGAATATATACAAGCATACCTCAGATATATTGTAGATTCAATATTGAAGTAAATACTTCAATAAAATGGGGAATCACATGGATTTTTGGGTTTCCTAGTGCAGATAAGAGTTAGGTTTATACTATATCATGGTCAATTAAGTGTACAATAATATCATGTGTAAAACAACAATGTACATATCTTACTTTAAAAATACTTTATTTCCAAAAACTGCTAACCATCATCTGAGCCTTCAGCGAGTCATAATCATTTTGCTGTTGGAGAATCTTGCCTTGATGTTGATGGCTTCTGACTAATCAAGGTGGTAGTTGATGAAGGTTGGGGTGGCTGTGGCAACCTCTTAAAATAAGACAACAATGAAGTTTGCTGCTGCAAAAGATTTCTCTGTAGCATGCAATGCTGTTTGATAGCATTTTACCCACACTAGACCTTCTTTAAAAATTGAAGTCAACCCTCTCAAACTCTTAACTAAGTTTATGTAATATTCTAAATCATTTGTTGTCATTTCAACAATGTTCACAGCATCTTCACCAGGAGTAAATTCCATCTTAAGAAAACACTTTCTTTGCCCATCCATAAGAAGCAACTCCTTGTCCATTCAAGTTTTACCAGGAGATTACATTAATTCAGTAACATCTTCAGGCCTTCACTTCTAATTCTTGTGATCTTTCTATTTTCACCATGTCTGCAGTTAATTTCTTCATGGAAGTCTTGAACCCCTCAAAGTCATCCATGAGGATTGGAGTGAATTTCTTCAAAACTCCTGTTAATGATGATATGTTGACTTCCTCTCATGAATCATGAATGTTCTTAATGGAATCTAGAATGACAAATCCATCCCAGAAGGTTTTCAATGGACTTTTCCCAGATCCAACAGAGGAATCACTATCTATGGAAGCTATCAACTTATGAAATTTATTTATTAAATAAGAAGACTTGAAAGTCAAAATTACTCCTTGATCCTTGGACTTCAGAATGGATGTTGTGTTAGCAGGCATGAAAGCAACTTTAATCTCCTTGTACATTTATATATATATATATAATATATATATTTATTATATTTTAAGTTCAAGGGTACATGTGCACAATGTGCAGGTTTGTTACATATGTATACACGTGCCATGTTGGTGTGCTGCACCCATTAACTCGTCATTTACATTAGGTATATCTCCTAATGCTATCCCTCCCCCCTCCCCCCACCCCACAACAGGCCCCAGTGTGTGATGTCCCCCTTCCTGTGTCCAAGTGTTCTCATTGTTCAATTCCCACCTATGAGTGAGAACATGTGGTGTTTGGTTTTTTGTCCTTGCGATAGTTTGCTGAAAATGATGGTTTCCAGCTTCATCCATGTCCCTACAAAGGACATGAACTCATCATTTTTTATGGCTGCATAGTATTCCATGGTGTATACGTGCCACATTTTCTTAATCCAGTCTATCATTGTTGGACATTTGGGTTGGTTCCAAGTCTTTGCTATTGTGAGTAGTGCCTCAATAAACATATGTGTCCAGGTGTCTTTATAGCAGCCTGATTTATATTCCTTTGGGTATATACCCAGTAATGGGATGGCTGGGTCAAATGGTATTTCTAATTCTAGATCCCTGAGGAATTGCCACACTGTGTTCCACAATGGTTGAACCAGTTTACAGTCCCACCAACAGTGTAAAAGTGTTCCTATTTCTCCACATCCGCTCCAGCACCTGTTGGTTCCTGACTTTTAAATGATCGCCATTCTAACTGGTGTGAGATGATATCTCATTGTGGTTTTCATTTGCATTTCTCTGATGGCCAGTGATGATGAGCATTTTTTTCATGTGTCTGTTGGCTGCATAAATGTCTTCTTTTGAGAAGTGTCGTTCATATCCTTCGCCCACTTGTTGATGGAGTTGTTTTTTTCTTGTAAATTTGTTTGAGTTCTTTGTAGATTCTGGATATTAGCCCTTTGTCAGATGAGTAGATTGCAAAAATTTTCTCCTATTCTGTAGGTTGCCTGTTCACTCTGATGGTAGTTTCTTTTGTTGTGCAGAAGCTCTTTAGTTTAACTAGATCCCATTTGTCAATTTTGGCTTTTGTTGCCATTGCTTTTGGTGTTTTAGACATGAAGTCCTTACCCATGCCTATGTCCTGAATGGTATTGCCTAGGTTTTCTTCTAGGGTTTTTACAGTTTTAGGTCTAAATTTTAAGTCTTTAATCCATCTTGAATTAATTTTTTGTAAGGTGTAAGGAAGGGATCCAGTTTCAGCTTTCTACATATGGCTAACCAGTTTTTCCAGCACCATTTGTTAAATAGGGAATCCTTTCCCCATTTCTTGTCTTTGTCAGGTTTGTCAAAGGTCAGATAGTTGTAGATGTGTGGTATTATTTCTGAGGGCTCTGTTCTGTAGTCCCTTTGAAAATTGGCACAAGACAGGGATGCCCTCTTTCACCACTCCTATTCAACATAGTGTTGGAAGTTCTGGCCAGGGCAATCAGGCAGGAGAAAGAGATAAAAGGTACTCAATTAGGAAAAGAGGAAGTCAAATTGTCCCTGTTTGCAGTTAACATGATTGTATATCTAGAAAACCCCATCATCTCAGCCCAAAATCTCCTTAAGCTGATAAGCAACTTCAGCAAAGTCTCAGGACACAAAATCAATGTACAAAAATCACAAGCATTCTTATACACCAATAACAGACAAACAGAGAGAGCCAAATCATGAGTGAACTCCCATTCACAATTGCTTCAAAGAGAATAAAATACCTAGGAATCCAACTTCCAATGGATGTGAAGAACCTCTTCAAGGAGAACTACAAACCACTGCTCAATGAAATAAAAGAGGACACAAACAAATGGAAGTACATTCCATGCTCATGGTTAAGAAGAATCAATATCGTGAAAATGGCCATACTGCCCAAGGTAATTTATAGATTCAATGCCATCCCCATCAAGCTACTGATGACTTTCTTCACAGAATTGGATAAAACTACTTTAACATTCATATGGAACCAAAAAAGAGCACACATTGACAAGACAATCCTAAGCCAAAAGAACAAAGCTGGAGGCATCACGCTACCTGACTTCAAACTATACTACAAGGCTACGGTAACCAAAACAGCATGGTACTGGTACCAAAACAGAGATATAGACCAATGGAACAGAACTGAGCCCTCCTTGTACATTTTTATCAGAGTTCTTGAGTGACCATGTGTATTGTCAATGAACAGTAATCTTTTAAAAGGAATCTTTTTATCTGAGCAGTAGGTCTGAACAGTGGGCTTAAACTATTCAGTGAACCATGCTTAAAAGATGTACTGTCATTTAGGCATTTGTTTTTCCTTTATAGTGCACAGAGTAGATTTAGCATAATTTTGAGGGGCCCTATAATTTTCTGAATGATTAGTGAGCATTGGCTTCAATTTAAAGTCACCAGCTGCATTAGCCCTTAACAAGAGAGTCAGCCTGCCCTTTGAAGCTTTGAAGCCAGGGATTGACTTCTCCTCTCTAGCTATGATAGTCCTACATGGTATCTTCTTCCAATAGAAGGCTATTTCATCTACCTTGAAGATCTGTTATTTAATGTAGCCATCTTCATCAATGTTCCTAGCTAAATCTTCTGAATAACTTGCTGCAGCTTCTACATAAGTACTTGCTGCTTCACCTTCCACTTTTACGTTATGGAAACGGTTTCTTTCCTTAAACCCCATGGACCAATCTCTGCTAGCTTCAAGCTTTCCTTCTGCAGCTTCCTCATCTCTATCAGCCTTCACAGAATTTAAGAAAGTTAGAGCCTTGCTCTGGATTAGGGTTTGGCTTAAGGGAATGTTATGGCTGATTTGATCTTCTATCCAGACCACTGAAACTTCCTTTCTATTAGCAATAATGCTGATTCACTTTCTTATTATTCATGTGTTCACTGAAGTAGCACTTTAAATTTCCTTCAAGCCTGTTTTCTTTGCATTCACAACTTGACTAACTATTTGGCACAAGAAGCCTACTTTCAGCCTTTCTCAGCTTTCAACGTGGCTTCCTCATTGAGCCTAATCATTTCTAGTTTTTGATTTACAGTGAGAGATATGCGACTCTTCCTTTCACTTGAACACTTACAGGCCATTGTAGAGTTATTAACTGGTCTAATATCAATGTTGTTGTGTCTCAGGGAGTATGGGGGCCTGAAGAGAGAAGGAAGAAAACAGAGAGACCATCAGTTTGTGGAGCAGTCAGAAAATACACATTTATCAATTAAGTTTATTTCCTGGCACCCCAAACAATTACAATACTAACATCAAAGATCACTGATCACAGATCACTATAACTCATATAATAATTAAAGAGTTTGAAATATTATAAGAATTACCAAAATGTGACAGAGACATGAAGCAAGCACATGCTGTTGGGAAAACGGTACCAACAGACTTGTTCAATGCAGGGTTGCCACAAACCTTCAATTTGTAAAATATGCAGTATCTGTGAAGTGTAATTGAATGAAGTGCAATAAAACAAGGTGTGCCTGTGTGTATATATTCACTTTGTACACACACACACACATATGTGTATATATATATATGTGTGTGTATATATACATATATATACACACACACACACAATTCAATTTGGATTCAATTGAATATAGGCCACAGTGTTTGTTGCTATTGTACATCATAAATGTTTGTTGAAATATATTTTAAAGCTTCTCTCCTATTTTATTGTCATATGATCTACTTCTTTTGCCATTTCCTTACTGAACACAGACCTCAGCACATGGTAAGTAGTTTGATAAGAACTTGATCAACTAGACTGATTTGACCCCTTCAAATTTTGTTTCCTGAGTTCAAAGGGCTTTACTGTCAACACCACTTAGACAATCCAGGAGCTCACCTTCCCACTGCCAAAAGGGAGAACGTAATATGATGCAGAAAGGTTCCCTACTCTGACAAGTCTGTGGGAGGGTTTGGTTTCATGGCCGGAGACCTAGCAATCAATTAGAGAAAGGGAAATAGTTGCCATTGGAAACCCTGAGGCCCTGTAGCTGTCAGAGGGAGTGAAAGGCTGGAAGCTAATCAGGCATAATGAGCTGACAGTACCATAGATCATGTCAGCTAGCATTCTTATTAATTTCCTGCCCAACAGCCATGCACAGAGGACCAATTCATCCATCAGTCCTTCCCCAGCCTAGGATGTTAAATCACTTGTCAAATCAGGAATGCAGTGATGAAAATTCAGGAGGTGACATAGAGGCAGGAATATCATTCATCATCCCCTAGACCCAACCTTTGGTAGCATCTTACACATACTTCCTTCTGACGGGAAGGACCAGACTCTGAGCATCTGAAACTGTCAAGGGCCAGAAAGAACATCTAATTAAGTATGGCAATAAAGTTCACTCATAGGAGGTGCACCCTAAAGTGAGAAAGATTTTGCAATTATGTCCAGAATAGAAAGAAGTAATTTATTTGCAATGTCTGCCAAGGACACAGCAAAGGATCAGTGTGGCACATGTACCATATTCGTGGTGTCTCTGACTTAGTCCAACCTTTTATTTTTCATATTGTTAAGGTGGGGCCTAAATAGGGTAAGGAGTTTTATTCTTTCATATATTTATTAACCCAATAAATACTAAGTAGGTATTCACTATGTGCCAGTTCTTGAGTGAGGCTCAAAGAAAGAAAAGATAAATTAAGACACAGTCCAGCTCTTAAGGAAAAAACAGTCTAGTAGGAAAGATTGACAAATAAGGGATGATTATTTGAATTAACACCAGTGATATGCACAGGCCACAGCAGGAAGACAAAGGAAAGATATTCTATCCAGCCTAGGGATTCAAGAAACACTTTTTACAGGAGATGATAGTTGAGTGAATTCCTTTAAAATGTATTCAAGGTCGTACAGATAAATAAGCAACAAACCAAAACTATAACATTTGTGTCCTCTTATGTAATCTAGTAAAACAGGAAATTAAATAGGAAAAGTTAGCATTTACATCCTATTTATGACATATTTTCTAAATATAGAAATGGTAGTGTATGTATTGGAGAGAACATGGTTTGTATATGATGTCTGCTTACCAGGTGTGTGACCATAGGCAAGTTCTTCACTCTCTGATCCCCAGTGTCCTTTGAAAATAAGAAAATTTACTAAAAATTGTTGTTGTAAAAATTAAGATACAGTATGTTCAAAGCTTCTAACCCTATGCCTGGAATGTGTACATAAACAATGACTATAAGCTCCGTCCCACATTATTTCACTTTCACCTTTTCAGAAATATTACAGAGTATTCATTTTGCATCAGGCAATATTTGCAGCTGCAGATCAGAAGGTAGCACAGGCCCTTGATCTGTGCTGTTATTGAGGAATGTTCAAAGAAGTGAGTGACCTACTGCCTTGGGGATGATTTGGGATGCTTCACAGAAAAGATGATTTTTGAGCAATTTTCCGGGTAACATTGAGGGATAGGACAGGATATGCTGGCAGAAGAAGTACCTTGAGACAAGACAAAGAAACAAGGAAGAAGTCATGTTTGAAGAACAGTAAGATTAAAGTAGCTGCACCCTAGATTGCACTTGAAGGAAAGACAGGGATGAGAGAAAGAAAATAGAGTTGGTTGTGAAAGCTGATAAATCAGGTGGAGTCTGATTACTTCTTCATTGGGAATGAGCTGCCAAAGGAAAGTTTTAATGTCACCTATCTGGCTCCTTTTAAAAATCCCTGATAAAAATATTGTCTCCTCTTTTAATACATATTTTCTGGCCTCTGCAGTCCATCTTGGCACCTAAAACAGTTTTCTTCTTCCCAAATCTAGGGGAAGTATATTGGGTTAGGATGAGCAGGCATGAGTGCCTCACATAGAGGATATTCTCAAGGATGAGAATTTGGGGTACACCTTGTGATTTGAGGGGGAACTTGAGGGAGACAAAAGATAATTTCATGGTCAGAAAGATAAAAGTTTAACTGGGGATCATTATTATACAAAGAAATAAATACATAACACCGTCATGACCTTGAGGAGAAACATCCGGGTGCAGTTCAGGGCTTAGGCTGTGAACACAAAATGTATAACCCAGGGGACTTTTTATGTGTGTACAGACAAAACAGAGACCTGGAGTGCACTATGTCACTCAAGGAGATGACACATAGGCAGAACCCTGAGGTATCAGAAAGGATTTGCCAAGAAAGAGACAACAGAGGCAAGGAAGGGCATCTCAGGCAAATGGATTGCCACGTGCCAAGGTGCGGAGGTTCCAGAGAGCAGTTTCTCAGTTCCAAAGTGATTTTGCTTTCACTCAGGTTACCTCAGTTGGGGTCACAGATGCTATGATCCTTATTTCAGAGTGAAGGAAGCAAAGGATGAATCAGGTTAGGCAACTCACCCAAAGTCACTCATCTGAGCTGCACAGAAAGGAAGCCAAACCTGGACCGACTGATCAGGGATTCAGATCCTCTCCTCTAGGTTCACCACCTGTGATGGAAAGGTTATTACATCCCTTCTTTTCATCTTTGGGGAGAGCAGTTCCTATTGAGTGAGGAACTAGGAGAGAAAACAACACCATATCAAGCTAATAGTAAAGAATCACTAAGGATATGAGATCAGAGTTGGCAGGCAGCTTCTGAAATGGGGGGATCATTTATGTTAAATTCAAACATGTTGACAATTTAATCCACCTTGAATCAGCCTCACTATTGCAAGACTCACAGCAGCCTGCTATGAATGTTACAGATAATTTCTTTTTGCTAGTTAAAGCTAGTACCCCAAAAAGGGATTGGAACTGGTTGGTAGAAACTTAAGAACTGTTTTTCTTTCTTCCATTCATTCATGCTTTTTAATAAGGAAAAATTGAGTTTCCTCCATGCACCAGTCTCTGTGCTAAGCATTAAGGATATAGAGATAAATCAGACACTTCCTTCATACTGAAGAGCTCACAATCTAATGTGAGAAAAGAAACCAACAAGTACAACCCAATAAGAAACTTGTATAAGGAGTGGAAAGTACATAGACTGAGAGGAGCACAGAAATGAGAGTTACTGACTGGCTGAAGTGGACTAAATCAGGCTTCTGAAAGACATGGTTTTTGAAACAGACTTAGAAAATGACTAGAGATGGCCAGTGGTACAATTTGAGCATCAAAGAAAATCAACAAAATCAATGTCAAAATCCATTGACTAAAATAAGACTACATATGTGAGTCCCTATGGATCTGAGTAAGCAAATGATCGGGAAGGGAAAGCTTTTCCTTACAGTAGAAAGCCAACTAATAAAAGTAAAAAAATATTGTATTTAGAAGATCACCATTTGGTAATTGCTATACTCTCAATGTGTCCTCCAAAATTCATATGCTGAATCTTGATACCAATGTGATAGTATTAAGAGGTGGGGACTTTAGGAGGTGATTAGGCCAGGAGGGCTCTGCTCTCATGGATTGGATTAAGTGCCTTAAAGGGCTGATAGCAACTAACTAGGCCCTTTACCCTTCTGCATTCCACCGCGTGAGGACACAATGTTCATCCTCTCTTGAGGACTTAGCACCAAGGCACCAGGCCCTCACCAGACACTGAATCTGCTGGTGTCTTGATCATGGAATTCCAAGGCCTCCAGAACTGTGAGAAATAAGTGTCTGTTATTTGATCAATTATGTAGTCTGTGTATTTTGTTATAGCAACACAAACTAAGACAGCAGCCATGACAATAATAGATTTAGACAAGAATTATTAATGGATATTAAAACTCCTGGATGAAAGTTTCAGGAGTAACAGGATATGTGCATAGTTTTAAGTTATCTCTTGCAAAGTCACTTATTAATTACAAAGGGGAAAATGTAAACTTCATAGCAGAGAAATCTGGAAGATACCACCTAACCAAGAGATCAAAATTAACATCACCAGTAAGGGGACAATTTCACATCTTGTGCCTCTTGACACAAAGCACTGAGAAGAACACACATCTTTCTGTGACATTTTTGCCAAAAAATAGCATAATCTAAATCTAATCATGAGGAAACAGATAACACCAAATTAAGGAACATTCTGCAAAATAACTGACCTGTCCACTTTAAAAATGTCAATGCCACAAAAGACATAGAAAGATTGAACAAAATTGCTCCAGATTAAATTAAATACATCATTATTTTTAAAATAATAATTGTGATATAAGAACAAGTAGCAGAAACTGGGAGCATTTAGGGCAAACCTAAACTCATGGTCACCTTCCTTAGAGCTGAAAGGTACCTGACCCATTCAGAGAGCCAGCTGTACCTGTGCTGTATACTGCTTGAAGAGCAGCAATTATAATATTTCATTTGATGATCATGACAACTCTGTGAGGTAGTATTTGTAATTCTTGTTTTATAAGTAAGGAAACTGAGGTTCAGAGAGGTTCAAGAACGTACTACTGCTTCCAAAGAGGATGTTTTTTTTTCCAGCATGCCCAACTGGAAGGGCCCCGGGATACATAAGCCAGTGACAGTTGAACTAAGCACACTCAGTAAAAACAGGAGCTGAAGTAGTCATGAGCATCTAAGATATATCCAGAGGCTGAAAAAGCCTAGCAGAAATTACATTTATCTTACAAATAATAAAACGGTTCTATTGCAACAATTGCTACTGGAATGATCACATTGCTTTGGTTTTGGCAGGAGTGCTACCAGTTTAATGAGTCACACCACTTTCTTGTTAGAGGCTCTGAATGACAGCTGTGTATTTCTATGGTTATTAAAACTGAGAAAAACCAATTAATTGTGATAAACACATTGAATCAGTTAGGAGATGATAGATTACACTATGATAGCAAACAACTCCAAAATCTCAGTGCCTTAAAACAGCAGAGGTTTCCGTCGGCTTCTGCTGCACGTCTGCTGAATCAGCTGGGGGATCTGCTCCTCAATGTTTCTTCGCTCCAAGAAACCCAGGCCAATAAAGCAGTTTCTATCTAGAACATTGCCTTCTCCCTGCAGAGGAAAATGAGAACTCTTGAGGACTGCGCACTGGTGATTAAATACTTCTCTTGCAGATCACTGGCCAGATTAAGTCCAGTGACCCAGCATAGCCCTAGGGGGCCTGGCAGTGTGATCCCATCCAGTTATCAGAAGGCGAGAGCATTTGAAATATTTAGTGAAGACCCCTAATGACTACCAAGTTTATGGAGTTTTGTAGATTGTAGTGTCTTCAGCAAATATTTAGCAAAAAAACAGTTTTGTGCCAGGTATGGTACTAAACACTGAAGATAAGACATGGTTCTCTGGTTTCATAAAACTTAGGACTCCTTGAGATTAAAGTTTTACAAAAAATGGTATCTTTGGTGGTAGCAAATTAAAAAGTCCCAGCTCTAGGCCCCTTCTTTTGGAGAAGGGGAAACTAAAGCCCGGAGATGTTCTCAGGATGATCGAGATGGAAGAAGGCTGGTTTCTATACCCCAGCACTTTATTAAAGCAAGTGAGAGAAAGGAGGCTTAAAGCCATCTCTATGTTTACAAAGCTCTCTTGAAAGTTGCATAAATGGGTTAGGGTGTTCTGTTTACATAGAAAGGCTAAGGAATGTAGACAAGGCACCCACTTTGAGTATGGGTATGACAGAGGCCAAAAAGGCCATGAACCCTAAAAAGGGCCAGGAAAGCTATGGTCAGCTGCCCTGACCTGGCACCAGGCCACACATCATGCTGTCTATAGACTCTCCCATGTTAATACTTAGCATGCGAGATGGGCAATTCCCCAGTCTGAAGAAGTGCAGACTTCTCATGAAACAGTTCAAGTGTATGTGGTTAAAAAGCACAAACAAAAACTGTTCATTCAAAGTGTCTAAAAACAAGACTGACTTATATATCAACTTATAGGATGCTTTCTTTGTCCACAGTAAACATCTTGGGAATAGAGCAGTTGACTGGACATCTCTCATGTGCAGCAGCAGCAGGAAAAAGAACTTTGGACTTTATCTGGTTTGCCTTTGATTCTCAGTTCTCTCAGTTACTTGCTAAGCAAATGACATCTCCTTTCTCTGTTTCATATCCCTCATCTGTTAAACAGGGATCATAATACCTAACGTCGTGGGCTTCCAAGACAAATCCTAGGGGAGGAATTCTGCAATGCACCCAGTACTTGCCAAGTATTGTGTCTGGTATTTAGCACAAAAGGAATTTTAGTTTCCTCTACCTCTCACTTTGGGAGCTCAGATAAATTAGTAGCTGTATTTTCCTAGACAAAAGATTCTATTTGTTTATGTGTCCTACACTGCATTAGGCTAAGCTATGGCAAGAAAGAGAAAAAAAAAACTTAAGTGGATTAATACATTTAAAATGTACTTCTTGCACATGTAATACTTCTAGGTGGGTGTTGTCAGGGTCACTCCTCCCCATGCTGGTGGTAGCTTGATATATTTACTCTGTGGCTTCCAAGATTACCCAAGGTGTTGACATCTCAGTGGACTAGAAGAGAGAATGAGCATGGAGGCGCATTTGGGGAGAGTGAGGAGGGCTGAACCTGGAGATGGGATCATTATTCATGCTTCACACTGACTCCCAGAGAACTGAGTTATGTGGTCACAACTCATATAAGGGAAACCGGGAGATCTCATCTTGCTGTATTTTTGCAAATAAAAATTAAAACCTTAGTTTCCCATAAAGAGGCAGCGTAAACATCCGGCAGGGAAGAATGGAATTTTGGGGACAGTTAGCAGTCTTGATTATTAATTAAGAGCAAATAGTTCTTCCCTTGTAGCGTTCATCACCATCCCTCAAAAACACAAGTAATAGAAAAAGCTGAGATAGAGTTACCCTGGGAGAATCCAAGAATAACTTTGGTAAGGTAAGTGTATATAAATTGAAAGAAAACACTCGACTGCTATTCTAATCATTCTTGTAATCAACATTTATTTAATTTTTATTAGGCATCACTTGGTGGGGATACAAAGATGGAAAGAGGAAGGCAATGTATGTATGCTAGGAGGATCAGAAGACAACCATAGTTAGCTAAGAGGTCATGATTTAGCAACAAATGAAACCAGACTTGTCTAACAAATTTCTCATCAACAAACATTGTACAAAAAAAAGTACTGAATAAAAGTATTGCCTATGTTGTTGTTCACACCTATGTATTTACTAGAATGTCTGAGAGGGCTGTACTGTATATATGACTTTAAATTTTAGTTGATTTATTTATTAACCTTGAAAAGAGTAAGTACTTCTTAGTGAAAGCAATTCTTACAGCTTTGTTTTCAACCAACTAAAAATGATATCACTCTTACATATTGTCCTCCATATTCTGAGGTCTTAAATGTACTTTTTTCTGATTTGTATTTATGTCCTGAGACAGAGATTTTTGGAAAAGAAAATAAACCTACAGTTAAAAGAAAAAAGAAAACAATGAAAATAGAAGCTGAGCTTAGCTGAGGATATGAATAACGAAAAGCAACCACCTTACCGCAAAACAACTCTAAGAAGTAGGATTATCATCACTCAATTTACAGGTAAATAATTTAACAACAGATTATAATATAGCAAACTCTTTCTTAGTATTAACTAATCATGAAACATTGTTCTAAATGATTATCTATCTACCTATCATTTATCTATCCATTTATTATCTATCTACCTATCATCTATCCATTTATTACCTATCTATCTATCTATCTTCTATTCATCTGTCTACCTCTCTCTTTCTTATGTAATCCTTGTAGCAAACAATGAGAGTTGCCTATCCTAAGTATGAGGAAACTGAGGTAGAGCAAGGTCATAACATGTTCAAGTTCACAGAATTAGTAAGTAGTAAAGTTAGGATTTGAAGCCAGACACTCAGGATCCATTTTCCATGCTCTTAACCATCATGCCATACTGACTAAACTATTTAAATTCATGCCCAAGGTCACATTTCAAGGGGGTAGCAGGAACAGGATGGAACCCTGGTGTGTGTGACTATGAAGCACTCACTTTGTCTTCTGCTCCATACTGTCTCTCAGTAGGTCTGAGATACAGAGTCAAGAGGGGAGAGGGCGTTGTAGGTGAGGGGTCCAATTCAGCAAGTACTGAGGGAAGACAGAAAAAGCCCCCAAAACATATGCCCTTGCGTGTTCCAGCCTCCAGTGTCTAAATGCCAGTGGCTAATCTTGTAACTCAGTGGAAATTCTTCTTTGGTTACACAGGCCACAGCCCCTGGTCCAAGATACATACATACCGTCAATGTGTTTATTCACCTGAAGGGAGGCTTCCCTCAAGTTGGTGCCTGAGTTGTCCCAGCAACATGAAAAGACAAGGCAAGCCTTGAGACAATCCAGAGGCCAAGAAAAGGGTAGCTGGCTGTGAAAGCAGGCAGTCCAGAGCAATCCTGGCACCACGGTAGATCCCAAAAGCATTTGAGCCAGAAGGGGCCTAATGGCTCACCCAGAGGTGAAGAAACTGAGAGCTTCAGGACAGTGCCAGTCACTCTGTTAAAGGCTTTAATGAGGTTATATCATTAATTTCTAACAAAATCCCAATAAGAAGTGATTCCCATTTATAGATAGGAAAATGAGGCTTCAAAGATACGATATGGCTTACCTGGGGTAGAACTAGGATTCAAGCCCAGAAATGCCTAATTCCAGGGCCTATGTTCTTAGTGGCAAAGCCATTTTCCCCAAGGCAAGTCACTTGCCCACCAACTACATAGCTATCCAAGTGACAGCCAGAACCAGCGTCCTGTGCCCTCTGCCTTCCAAGGACCCCAGATTTCCCTGGCTATCAAGTAGCCAGACCATCACCCACATAGAGATCAGCCATGTATTTCATCAGTACCTCTTAACATTCTGCCCTTCATTGCCCTGGAATGGGTCTTGTTCAAACTTCCCTTCCACAGCTCAACAAATAAGCAAACAAAAATAAAAAGCTTAGCTTTCCATGAAAAGGCAGTATAAACATCTGGCAGGCTTGCTGGGTCTTGGCTTCCTCTGCCTCGGTTTAAGTGCTCAACTTGAGTGTATTTGGGTTTCAACAGAGGAGGCTTTGCTAGACATTACTCACCCCCCTGCAAAAGCAAAAACTTAGTGATAGAAATACAAGTGCTCTTGTTTGTTGACCAAAAGCTAAACAAATCATTTGAGGTTTTGGGTTAAAAAAATCTTTCAAAAATGTAGTTCCCACATATTCAGTTGGGATATGTGTAAGTGTATATGTGTGTTTGCTTAAATCTTGTCTGAAATAAGATGGGGTATAAATATAAATATGTGCAAATAACTTAAATAAATTTTAAAAAACTCATTTTTTTCAGTTTTATGAATTGAAATGGGCCAAAATTAATCTCAAATATGGGCCAGCCTTTGACAAAATCCTCCAGTTGGTTAAATTTTTTTATACCATCTGGGTAAGTTTGGGAGTGAGTTAAGCCCTCTGGGCTCTAATTCCTCATCTATAAAATGAGGATAATATTAGGATAATATAAAATTGACTGTGGTGAGGATGGATTTAGAAAATTCTGTGAAAGCCTTATAAACTGCAGAGTCTTTCATACAGACAAAAGGCTGTGTTTACTGCTATTTTCTCTGGCAGGCACAGGTCTTGTAGTGGCAAATTCTCCTCCATGATTTACCAACGCAGTTGCTCTCATGCTGCTCCTTGGCTGCCCAAGGACCCCAGGAAGCGTCTTCTCCATTGGCAGTCCCATCTCCCCAATAAACACCAAAACTTTTGCAAGAAATAGGTGTCAGGTGGATTTGGTTGTAGATGGGGGAGAAAAGAAAACTAAGATAGCCAGATTCAAGAAAGCACAATTTAAATAGCCACTCATAATACTAACCAGGTTAATTCCTCCCTCCAAGAAAGAAGACAAAAGAGGAAGTCCTTTCTAAGCAGCAGAGCAGAACACTCATCTTTCCAGAAGGGCATGGTAAGAGGAAGTGCAGAGTAGGCAGTTATATAACAGGCCTAACAGGTAGCACAGGCAGGAAGGAGGATGGGTATGAGCAAGACTGAGAGAGGTTCATCAGTGCTGGATTTTCTAACAGCAGTGAACTAAACCCATGCTTAGGACATTGGCAAAGGAGGAATGGCTAATAAGTAATTTGATTTTATTTTCAAATTACATATGTGGGAGGGAAATCATGATGCTTTCAGTGCTGTGGACATATAAAGACCCTGGTCCTGATCCAGGAGGCACTTGGGTACCGAGTGTCAACAAGAGCCCCTAAGAGAAGATAGGGTGAAGCCCCCATGGCCCTGCCACCTGATGTGTCACAGCAGAGAGGCATTGAGTATGGGAAACACCATGCTTAGGAACATGGGGCAAAAAGAAGTGGAGGGACAGCTCAATAGAAGGGACTATATACAAATCACATAGCCAGACAGGGCTAGCAGGTACAGCAGGTTCTAGAAACCCTGAGAATCAAGAGCAACAGGGCATAAGTGCCTCAGGAGCCTAGGTCTTAAAAGGCTGCAGCTCCAGAAACAACACAGACAGAAAAATTGATCCAAAACATGGAGGGGAACATCAGGAAGATATTCTGGACACAGGACTGGCAAGAAACAGGAATGGTGATGGCAAGCTTGGCTGGGATTGAGGGTGGTATTTGCCCTATCCCTCCATGAAGCCCTGAGTAGGTAGAGAAACTCTTGTTATCCATATCTCAGAGCCTCCAGTCAGAGAAACCAGGGCACTGTTCTGACGCATGGGCGTCTTTCGTCATTGAACTTGAGGGGAAGAGGGAGTGGCAGTTGCACAGAAGGGCCTGGATTGGGAAAGGTCAGAAAATGAACACATGCCAGGTTAAAAGCCAGTGACGGAGACTGGAAGAGCAGAAGACAGAGCCAGAGGACCTAGTGCTACATTGATGCTGGGATGGACAGGGAAACAAGGTCAAAGGTGGGGGCAGAGTAAGGGGGTTTTAAATGCTTTTTAATGACACAGCTATCAGACTAGTTAAAAAGCCCAGATCCGTATGAATTCCAAGCAAAAATATACCCTGCGCAAGTGCAGACCACCTAGACTTGGCCTTCTGCCTGATAAAATTGTTGGAATTCTCCAAGGAATAGCAAAGTCAGATTGTGATGAGGGGGCAGAGGTGAGAGCAGATAATAGATGAGAAAGAAAAGTGTTATTGTCTTAACAGGTAGCACAGAAAAGACATTCTTTCCCCCTATAAAGAATCTTTGTTTATTAAAATTCTTTAAAGCAGCTTGAAATGAAATCATCACTTTGAGATATGCATTGGCATGAGCTAAGGTCACCAAAAGAGATAAATAATGTATAATACATCCAAAATTAATAGTGGTTTGGGGGTACTGGAAAGACAGAAGTTTGGGGAGAAGAAGGAGAAATGAAGAACAATTAGTGAAATGGCATGAGACTAGGCCACTGTACAACATGAAGAGAAAAGTGAAAGCTCCTCACTGCCAAGGTTGCCGAAAGATGTTTAGGAACAATGAAGCTTTGTATCAGTAAGATATTGCTGCATAACTAATGACCTCAAAACTCAAAACAACAATAAGCAAGTATTTCTTGTTCACGCGTCTGTGGGTCAGCTGAAAGTTGGCTGGCCTAGGCTGCGTATGGCTCCAGGCCATGTGTCTGTTCCAGGTCTATGACACAAGGCTGTCATCCTTCTGGGATGAATGGGCTACATAGTGCACACTTTTCTCTTGGAAATAACAGAATTACAATAATAGGAGCCCTCCTTGAAAGCACATTTTAAACCTCTGCCTATGTTCCCTCTAATAATAATCTTTGGTCAAAGCAACTCACATGACCAAGCCCACCATCAATGGAGTGAGCAAGTAAACTCCTCTGATGGAGGAGGGCTGGTAGTAAGAGTGGATATTTGCTAAACAACGATCTGATCTACCACAAGCCTTATGCTAAATTTAAAATTATTTGCATTGCTGCAATGTAAATTCCTTCTCTGACCACTCTCTCAATCTTTAGTAAATGTACCACAAATACAAATTTTTTGAGCTGCTTTTCTAGAGAAATCAAGGCAGAGGATTGACATGATGCAGAACAGAGACAGTAGATGAAAGTAAGTGATCCACAAGACAGAAGGCAAAATCAGAGGTGGCCATGAGTACCTAAGCCTCCAAAAATCATAGGCATATTGGGAAAATCAGAGAAATAAGGGCCAGAACCAATCTTGTTTAGACCTCAAGGAGAGCTCATCTGCCAGCTATGTTACTTAAGACTATTGGTAATGGCCATTGGTAAGTGAGGCTAGACTGCCTTTCCATTGTCTGACAGGAAGCTATGGCGGAGCAGGACAGGCCATAGAAGCCTCAGGGCTCATTCTGAACAGCAGGGAGGAGGAGGTCATCAACCAAGTCCAGTTAGGAAATTTGGTCCAGAGGGATCCAGAGGCTTGTATCTGAGTATAAGGTGAGGATTTTTTTTCCTAAGAGTAAAGTTAAAACAACAACAACAACAACAACAAACCCTAGTCTTTAGAGAGGAGGTGTACTGCCATTGCAGAATTATCAGTTAGACTACTTGAAGTTTAGTCACTATACTCACTTAACTAGGGCACTTCAAATTATTCCTGAAGTAGAAAGTATTGAGTATTAACCTTCAGAATAAGGGAGACATAGAAGGCAAGAATTACCATGTTGAAAACTTGCTCAATATCCGGAAGTACATACACTAT
The DNA here is from genome assembly GCF_000001405.40 of Homo sapiens. Lineage (NCBI taxonomy): Eukaryota > Metazoa > Chordata > Mammalia > Primates > Hominidae > Homo > Homo sapiens. Next base: position 56,064,753 of record NC_000001.11, read on the forward strand.
TATCTGATTAGTCCCCACATGACCTCCTCTCCTCAGAGATAGGAATTATTATTCCCACTCTATGAACAAGAAAATGAGATCATAGTGGCTGGCCTTTTTCAATGGAAAAGGCAAAGCCAAACATGTAAGGTGGTGGTTGTGAAACCATACAGCTGCAGCAAGAAGAGAAGCATGGTACAAAAGAATGGTTGCTGCATACAACCCTTGTTGGATACATTTATGAGGATTCTTGTCATGCTTGTCAATCCTAGATGAGTTTTTATGACTATGACTCATACGATGTTCTGTGACCTCAAGGGCTTTACAATTGCAAAGCGGATAATCTAATCTCTTTGGTTTGAATGAAGAAAACATACCTAAATTATGCATTAATCTCACCCTTCACCTATGTTTATAGCGTCTTCATCCAGTCTATTTCTATTGCCAGAAAAGGAGACAAGAGCTGGGACAGGGTAGGGAAGTAACATTTAATAAATGTTATGTTGTGTCATCTGTGTATAAATCAGTACATAAAAATGCTTGATAATAAAGAATATATGAGCACCTCTATAGCATGACACTACTGCAGGTCAGTAGACTTAGGAAGACAGTTACAGTCATAAGAAAATTATAGATATTCAGTTTTCTCCCTTGGACAAATACTTTGACCACTTATAAATCTTAACTATCTTAGTGGATAAATACCGTATTCACTTTCAAATGCATATTTCAGCCCCCTTCTCAGAGCCTTCTTGGAGTCGGCTAACTTAGGAATGTAAGTCTTTCCTCTCTCTCCACTAATGAATATGAGATCTGTCCCTTTCCTGTATTCCATTAGACCCTTACTCTCAGATGGGGGAGAACTAGTAGATCTTAGTTGGTATTTGTGTACAACTGAAAAACAGTGATTTCGAGGTGTTAAGGGATGAGAGTGGCTGGGCTATGAACTAGTGAACAGCCTCATCCTTCTCTGTGATGTAGTTTTTGAAATGATGAGGCCATGTTAAATGGTCAGTCCGTAGCAGAATTTCTACTGCCTAGGAAATAGTTACACACTCTGCTATATCGCTATCATTTACTTTTCATTCTTTCTTAGAAATTCAGTCTCTCTGCCTACATTTCCCATCTGTTCTTGCATACTCTCTGCTGTATCTACTAGAGCCCCTAGCACGTTAGTCATAATTGTTTTAAATTCCCACTCTGATTAAGTCCAACATTCCTGACATATTTGAGTCTCATCCTCATTCATTATTGGTTTGACAAACCTAACATAAAATCACCACATGAGATAAAATGTGTGAAAGCAAAGAACACATAGGACAGTCTCAACAAAACCATGTTTAACTGAATAACCTCCAAATCACCTTCACAGCAGACCATAAGATGAGAAGTTTGATTTGTTTGTTTGTGTCTTTTTCTATCAAGGAACCTATGTAATAAGGTTAATTAGGAAACAAGTTTTCCTAATAAAGCCTATCTTCTCTCGGAGTCTGAATTCCATGGTGCTCTACAGTGTCCTTTGCTTTACCTCTTAATACATTTTTATAAGGAAACACTCATACAACTCTGCAGGGCTTTGACACTTTGCAGTGGATTTGAGGGCAGAGGAACCCATGGGCTGAGACCCTGTTTTTGAAGCAGGATGGAGGATGGTGATGGGATTGGGTAATGGAAGCTATTTATTTACCACCAGCTGCCTCCAGCTGTGACACCCCGCTAGGTTATGGAATAAAGCACAGTAAATAAACACCCCGAGGAGACACCCTGAAGCACAGCACACATGGAAATCCATCTCCTCACAAATCCTAGAAAAATATGTACTCAGTGCTGAGCACGTCCAAAATAAACCATCCCAAGCCAATGATTTGGAATGATTTCCATGTTTCTGTCCTGGGAGTGATTTGGAGGAATAAACCAGGATGGCTAGGGTAATTGCTCTGAGCAGGTACATTGTCCTTCACCTCTTCTTGAAGGGCTAACTCCTATTCATCCTTCAAGTCTCAGCATAGGGATCACCTCTATGGAGACATCTTCCCTGACATCTGTGACCACGTTGCTTCCCCAAGGCTTCCACAGCCCTGGGCTTCCCCTGTCACAGAACTCATCACATTATATTAAAATTACCATATATTGCATCTGTCTCTCCAACTAGACTGTAGGGTTCACTGGAGTCATGAACCATATTCTAATCATCTTTATATCCTCAGCACTTAGTACAATAACTGCTCGTAGCTGCTCCACCAATGTTTATGGAGCTGAGCTCATTCTGCTTGCAAACGTCATTATTTGTTGTTTCTTAATTTCCACAAAGAAGAAGGAGAAAAGGAAAAAGGAGAAGGAAAAGAGGAGAAAGAAAAGAGCTGGAGAAGACCTTAACCATTAGCACGAGTCTATGGACCAAAGGCATGAAATATCACTCCCTTTATCCTGCCCCTTCCTGCTTCTTAGCAAGAATGATTGTATTCAATTTCTCCCTTCTCTGTCTTTCCTTTTGTAGTCTCTCTCCTTGAATCCCATGAAGAAAACATAAGCAATTTGGCAGTACACAGTTAGAAAATCCCAATCTCATCTCACCTCTTTGTTTTATAAATGAGGAAACTGAGTCTCAAGACATCATCATGAGCCCACTTCTACATTTACTTGTCATTCTCTCTACCCATTTAATCATTGTTTCTAAGCTCACTCTTACCCTTCACCCATGAAGAGCTCATTCCCACCTCTCACCTTCACCCTTAGCTCCATTCCATCCACAACGAGGAATGTTGATCTAGATCTTGACAGTCTAAATTATTGTGTTCGACACACTCATAAAGCTTTCAGAAAGGTCAAAATGTGAAATGCTTATGATTCTGATACTTGCTGGATTATATGTCTTTTCCCTTGCATGTTGTAAGTCCGATCCAAAGAGAACTTGTCTTCCCATCACACTCTGACTGAGGTGATCAAAATCAGTTTACAAGAAACATATACTTTCCAATAATGATAAAAGATTAGCAAGAGAGTCATTTTTGTTGAACTCTGCTAAGCAGTCTGCTCTCAGCTAGATGTTTTGCATCTAGGATCTCATTTCATTACCAGAAAAACTGCAAGACAAATTTATCCCATTTTATAGATGAGAAAGCTGAGGTTTAAAATGTTATAGTTAGTATGTAGATGAGCCCTAGATTCAAACCCAGTTCTCTGGTTTCAAAGCATACATTTTCCCTGCTATTCAATGAAGACATTTATGATAGGTCATTGGATGGGGTCTAAAAAGAAAAAACAAAACTAAACTAAACCCCCCAAAATGAAGACATTTAATTGAAGGAAAAAGTCCTGTTTAGAGGCAGCATCTAATCTCTTCACCTCTTTCTTAAAGCTGTCTTCTTCCCCTCCTCTACCCCTCCAAGATGTCTCTAGAAAAGGTTGATTGCTATTCAGGGTGGTAGGATGCCCCAGACCACAGAGGCATAGAGCAGAAGTCAGGCATCAGAAATTAGGAGGGTGGTCGAGGAATAAGATCCAGGAATATGGGAAGGAGTTGTAAGAATATCGAATCCAGCTCATTCTGTAAATGTAGCGTGTTTTCTTCCCACCCCCCAGCAGTCAGGAAAGCCTTTAATGGGCTTCCACCTAGCACTTCAGCTGTTGCCCAGCAGCATCTTAAAGGCACCACTAAACACTTGCCATGGTGCTCTCATCAGGCTTTGAAGGATTGCCCTGTGGGCTCCACAATTGTTATTGAAGCTGCAAGAACTCAGTTACTTCCTGGAAATTGCAGGTTCAGCCATAGCGAAGTAACCATTTTAGCCAAACCAAATAAATTCAGAAACAGTACTCCCACTAACCCCAAACAGCATTCTCACTAACCCGAAACTCTCCCGGCTTTAAAGCAGAGAATAGAGACTCAGCAAGGCCACTTTATAATTTCTCAGATACTTTCTTTTCAAGTCCAGACTCATGCTCAATTTTTATTCTTTGATTTTACTTTTTCAGAGCAATAAATTAGTAGTTTTAAATTAGTGGTTCATTCTAAGACTAGAGGGCAGAGTTCAACAATGATTCAGCAGAGAGGGTTATTCCAACAACTTGGCACAAGGAGTATTGTACCAGGTGACTTCTCATTCATTTCTTCATTTATCCTCACAACAGCCAATTGGGTACAATTTCCCTCTCATATTTTAGATGAGAGTTTAATTACACCACCCAATGTCATACAACTGAGAAGATGCTGTGTAGAATTCAACTTTTATTCATATCACTAATTCACAACAAC